>NC_000020.11:30456077-30608987 GCF_000001405.40 Homo sapiens
GAATTCTGAGAAACTTCCTTTGAATGTGTGCATTCATCTCACAGTGTTGAACCATTCTTTTGATTGAGCAACTTCGAAACAGTCATTTTGTAGAATATTCAAAGGAATATTTGTGAGCCCATTGAGGGCTCTGGGGAAATAGGAAATATCTTCACATAAAAACTAGACAGCAGCATTCTGAGAAACGTCTTTGTGATGTCTGCATTCATCTCACAGATTTGAACATTTTTTTTGATTGAGCAGTCTTGAAACACTCTGTTTGTAGAATCTGCAAGTGGATATTTGGAGTGCTTAGAGGCCTATTGTGGAAAAGGAAATATCTTCACATAAAAACTAGATACAATCATTCTGAGGAACTTCTTTGTGATGTGGGCTTTCATCTCACAGAGTTGAAACTTTCTTTTCATTGAGCCGTTTGGAAACAGTCTTTTTGTAGAATCTGCAAATGGATATTTGGAGCAGTTTGTGGCCTATGGTGAAAAAGGAAATATAAAAACCGGATTGAAGGTTGCTGAGAAACTTCTTTGAGATGTGTGCATTCATCTCACAAAGTTCAATAATTCTTTTTATTGAGCAGTTTGGAAACAGTCTTTTTGTAGAATCTACAAAGAGATATTTGTGAGGGCTTTGAGGTCTATGGTGAAAAAGGAAATATCTTCACAGAAAAACTATAAAGAAGGTTTCTGAGAAACTTCTTTGTGATGTGTGCATTCATCTCACACATTTCAACCTTTCTTTTGATTGAGCAGTTTGGAAACAGTCTTTTTTAATATTCTTCAAGTGGATATTTGTGAGCACTTTGAGGCTCATGGTGAAAAAAGAAACATTCACATAAAAACTTAATAGAAGCTTTCTGAGAAACTTCTTTTTGATGTGTGCATTCATCTCACAGAGTTGAACCTTTCTTTTGATGAGCACTGTGGAAACAGACTTTTTGTAGAATCTGCAAAGGGACAATTTTGAGCGCTTTGCTTCCAGTGGTGAAAAAGGAAATACCTTCACATAAAAACTAGACAGAATGTTTCTGAGAAACTGCTTTGTGATATGTGCATTCATCTCCCAGATGTGTCTGTTTCTTTTCTTTTTTTTTTTTTTTTTTTTTGAGACGGAGTCTCGCTGTCGCCCAGGCTGGAGTGCAGTGGCGCAATCTCGGCTCACTGCAGGCTCTGCCCCCTGAGGTTCACGCCATT
This sequence comes from Homo sapiens, assembly GCF_000001405.40. Taxonomy (NCBI): domain Eukaryota; kingdom Metazoa; phylum Chordata; class Mammalia; order Primates; family Hominidae; genus Homo; species Homo sapiens. The sequence continues at coordinate 30,457,268 of NC_000020.11, forward strand.
CTCCTGCCTCAGCCTCCCGAGTAGCTGGGACTACAGGCGCCCGCCACCTCGCCCGGCTAATTTTTTGTATTTTTAGTAGAGACGGGGTTTCACCGTGTTAGCCAGGATGGTCTCGATCTCCTGACCTCGTGATCTGCCCGCCTCAGCCTCCCAAAGTGCTGGGATTACAGGGATGAGCCACCGCGCCCGGCCGTGTCTGTTTCTTTTCATTGAGAAGATCGGAAACTCTTTTCTTGTAAAATCTGCAAAGGGATATTTGTGAGCCCTTGAAGGCGTATGGTGAAAAAGGAAATATCTTCACATAAAAACTACACAGAAGCTTTCTGAGAAACATTGTGGTGATGTGAGCATTCATCTCACAGAGTTGAAACATTCTTTTGTTTGAGCAGTGTGTAACGAGTCTTTTTGTGGAATCTGCAAAGGGATATTTGTGAATGCTTTGAGGCCTATGGTGAAAAAGGAAATATCTTCACATAAAAACTAGAGAGAAGCTTTCTGAGAAACCTCTTTGTGGTGTGCATGCATCTCACAGAGTTGAACCTTTCTTTTGATTGAGCAATTTAGAAAAAGTAGTTTTGTAGAATCTGTAAAGGGATATTTGTGAACACTTTGAGGCCTATGGTGAAAAAGCAAGTATCTTCACATAAAATCTAGACAGAAGCATTCTGAGAAACTTCTTTGTGATGTGTGCATTCATCACACAGAGCTGAACCTTTGTTTTGATTGAGCAGTTTGGTAACTGTCTTTTTGTAGAATCTGCAAATGGATATTTGGAGCGCTTTGAGGCCTATGGTGAAAAAGGAAATATATTCACATAAAAACTAGACTGAAGGTTCCTGAGAAACTTCTTTGAGATGTGTGCACTCATCACACAGTGTTCAAAAATTCTTTTTATTGAGTGGTTTGGAAACAGTCTTTTTGTAGAATCTGCAAATGGATATTTGGAGCGCTTTGAGGCCTATGGTGAAAAAGGAAATATATTCACATAAAAACTAGACTGAAGGTTCCTGAGAAACTTCTTTGAGATGTGTGCACTCATCTCACAGTGTTCAAAAATTCTTTTTATTGAGCAGTTTGGAAAAAGTCTTTTTGTACAATCTGCAAACGGATATTTAGGAGCGCATTGAGGCCTATGGTGAAAAAGGAAATATCTTCACATTAAAAACTAGAAAGAAGCATTCTGAGAAGCTGCTTTAAGATATGTGTATATTCATCTCACAAAGGTAAACGTTACTTTTTTTTGAGCAGTTTGTAAACTCTGTTATTCTAGAATCTGCAAAGGGAAATTTTTGAGTGCTTTGAGACCCACGATGAAAAAGGAACTATCTTCACATAAAAACTAGTGAGAAGCTTGCTGAGAAACTACTTTCTGATGTGTGCATTCATCTAACAGAGTTGAAACTTTCTTTTGATTGAGCAGTTTGGAAATAGTCTTTTTGTAGTTTCTGCAAAGGCATATTTGGGAGTGAGTTGAGGCCTATGTTCAAAAAAGAAATATCTTCACATAAAAACGAGAAGGAAGTTTTCTGGGAAACTTCTTTGTGATGTGCACATTCGTCTCACAGGGTTGAACCACTCTGTTTATTGAGCAGTTTGGAAACAGTCTTTTCATAGAATCTGCAAAGGGATATCTGGGAGAACATTGAGGCATATGGTGGAAAAGGAAATATCTTCACATAAAAAGTAGAAAGAAATTTTCTGAGTAGTTCCTTTGTGACGTGTGCATTCATCACACAGAAGTAAAATTTCTTACCATTGAGCAGTTAGTTTTTATGTGAAGATATTTCCGTTTTCAACATAGACCTCAAACCGCCTACATATATCCCTTTGCAGATTCTATAAAAAGACTGTTTCCAAAAGGCTCAAAGAAAGCTTCCACTCTGCAAGATGAATGCACACATCACAGAGAAGTTTCTCAGAAAGTTTCTGTCTAGTTTTTATTTGTTGATACTCCCTTTTTCACCATAGGCCTCAAACTGCTCATAAATAACCCTTTGCATATTCTACAAAAAGACTGTTTCCAAACTACTCAATCAAAAGAAAGGTTCAAATCTGTGAGGTGAATGCACATATCACAAAAAAAGTTTCTCAGAAAGCTTCTATCTAGCTTTTATTTGAAGATGTTTCCTTTTTCAATGTAGGCCTCAAAGTGCTCACAAATGTCCCTTTATAGGTTTTACAAAAAGACTGATTCCAAACTGCTCAACCAAAACAAAGCTCCAACTCTTTGATATGAATGCACACATCACAAAGAAGTTTCTCAGAAAGCTTCTGTCCAGTTTTTATGTGAAGATATTTCCTTTTTCACCATAAGTCTCAACACATTCAAATTATCACTTTGAAGATTCTACAAAAAGACATTTTCCAACCTGCTCTATCTAAAAAAAGGTTCAACTCTGTGAGAAGAATGCACACATAAAAAAGAAGTTTCTCAGAATGCTTCTGTCTAGTTTTTATGTGAAGACATTTCCTTTTTCACCATAGGCCAAAAAGGGATCCCAAATATCCCTTTGTACATTCTACAAAAGGACTGTTTCCTAACTGCTCAATCCAAAGACAGGTTCAACTCTTTGGGATGAATGCACACATCACAACGAAGTTTCTCAGAAAGCTTCTGTCTAGTTTTTGTGTGAAGACATTTCTTTTTTCACTGTAGGCTTCAAAGGGCTCACAAATATCGCAAAGCAGATTCTACAAAAAGACTCTATCCAAATTGGTCAATGAAAAGAACACTTCAAATCTGTGAGATGAATGATCACATCACAAAGAATTTTCTCAGAAAACTTCTGTCTAGTTTTTATGTGAAGATATTACCGTTTTCACCACAGACCTGAAACTGCCTACATATATCCCTTTGCAAATTCTACAAAAAGATTGTTTCCAAACTGTTCAATCAAAGAAAGCTTCTACTCTGTGAGATGAATGCAGACATCACAGAGAAGTTTCTCAGAAAGTTTCTGTCTAGTTCTTATTTGTCAATACTCCCTTTTTCACCACAGGCCTCAAACTGCTCATAAATAATCCTTTGCAGATTCTACAAAAGGACTGTTTCCAAACTGCTCAATCAAACGAAACTTCAGCTGTGTGAGATGAATGCACACATCACAAAGAAGTTTCTCAGAACGTTTCTGTCTAGTTTTTATGTGAAGATACTTCTTTTTCACCATAAACCTCAAAGCGTTCACAAATTTTCCTTTGCAGATTCTATGAAAAGACTGTTTCCAAAGTGCTCAATCAAAAGAAACATTCAACTCTGTGTGATGAATGCACACATCACAAAGAAGTTTCTCAGAAGGCTTCTGTCTAGATTTTATTTTTGGATATTTCCTTTTTCACAATAGGCCTCAAAAAACTCACAAATATCCCTTTGCATATGCTACAAAAAGACTGTTTTCAAACTGCTCAATGAAAGAAAATTCAACTCTGTGAGATGAATGCATACATCACAAAGTGATTTCTCAGAATGCTTCTCTCTAGTTTTTATATGAAGATATTTATTTTTTCACCACATGCCTCAAACTGCTCAAAAACATCCCTTTGCCGATTCTCCAAAAAGACTGTTTCCGAACTGCTCAATCAAAAGAAAGATTAAACTCTTTGAGATGCATACACCCATCACAAAGAAGTTTCCCAGAAAACATGAGTCTAGTTTTTACGTGAAGATATTTCCTTTTTCACCATAAGCCTCAAAGCATTCACAAATATCACTTTGCAGCTTCTACGAAAAGACTGTTTCCAAACTGCTCAATCAAAAGAAAGTTTCAACCCTGTGAGATGAATGCACACATCACAAAGAAGTTTTTCAGAAAGCTGCTGTCTACATTTTATTTTTCGATATTTCCTTTTTCACCATAGGACTCAAACTGCTGAAATATATCACTTTGCAGATTCTACAAAAAGACAGTTTCCAAACTGCCCAATGAAAAGAAAGGTTCAACTCTCTGAAATGAATGCACACATCACAAAGAAGTTTCTCAGAATGCTTCTCTCTAGGTTTTATGTGAAGATATTTCCTTTTTCACCTCAGACCTCAAACCACTCATAAATATCCCTTTGCATATTCTACAAAAAGATTGTTTCCAACCCAATAAGTCAGAAGAAAGTTTCAACTCTGTGAAATGAATACACACATCACAAGGAAGTTGCTCAGAAAGATTCTGTCTAGTTTTTATGTGAAGATATTTCCTTTTTCACCATATGCCTCAAAACGCCTTCAAATATCCCTTTACAGATTCTACAAAAAGACTGTTTTTGAGCTGATGAATCAAAACAAATATTCAACTATGTGAGATGAATGCATACATCCTAAACTAGTTTCTCAGAAAGCTTCTCTATAGGTTTAGGTGAAGATATTTCCTTTTTCACCATAAGCCTGAGAGCGTTCACAGATATCACTTTGCAGATTGTACAAAAAGACTGTTTAAAAACTGCTCAATCAAAATAAAAGTTCAACTATGTGAGATGAATGCACACATCACAAAGAAGTTTCTCAGAAAGCTTCTGTTTAGATTTTACTTGTGGATAATTCCTTTTTCACCATAGGTCTCAAACCACTCACAAATATTCCTTGCAGTTTCTAAAAAAGACTGTTTCCAAACTACTCAATCAAAAGAAAGGTTCAACTCTGTGAGGTGAACACACACATCACAAAGAAGTTTCTCAGAAAGCTTCTGTCTAGTTTTTATGTGAAGATAATTCCTTTTACAACATAGGCCTCAATGGGCTCACAAATATCCCTATGCAGATTCTACAAAAAGACTGCTTCCAAACTGCTCAATCAAAAGAAAGATTCAACTTTGTGCATTTAATGAACACATCACAAAGATGTTTCTCAGAATCCTTCTGTCTAGTTTTTATGTGAAGATATCTCCTTTTTCACCATAGTTCTCAAACCTCTCACAAATATCCCTCTGCAGATTTTCAAAAAGATTGTTTCCAGAGTGCTCAATCAAAAGAAAGATTCACATCTGTTAAATGAATGCACACATCAGAAAGAAGTTTCTCAAAATGTTTCTGTCTAGTTTTAATGTGAAGATATTTCCTTTTTAACTTTAGTCCACAAACCGCTCACAAATATCCCTCTGCATATTCTACAAAAAGACTGTTTCCAAACTGCTCAATCAAAAGAAAGTTTCAACTCCGTGAGATGAATTCACAAATCACAAAGAAGTTTCTCAGAAAGCTTCTGTCTAGTTTTTATGTGAAGATATTTCCTTTTTCACCATAGGCCTCAAAGCCCACAAAATATCCTTTTGCAGATTCTACAAAAAGACTGTTTCCAAACTGCTCAGTCAAAACAAAGGTTCAACTCTGTGAGATGAACACACATATCACAAAGAAGTTACTCAGAAAGTTTCTGACAAGTTTTTATGTGAAGATATTTCCTATTTCACCATAGGCCTCAAAGGGCTCACAAATATCCCATTTCAGATTCTGCAAAAACACTGTTTGCAAACTGCTTAATGAAAACAAAAGTTAATCTCTGTGAGATGAATGCACACATCACAAAGAACTTTCTCAGAATGCTTCTCTCTAGTCTTTATGTGAAGATAGTTCCTTTTTCACCATAGGCCTCAAACTGCTCAAAAATATCCCTCTGTAGATCCTACAAAAAAATTGTTTCCAAACTGCTCAATCTAAAGAAAGTTTCAACTCTGTGAGATGAATGTACACATCAGAAAGAAGTTTGTCAGAAAGCTTCTGTCTAGTTTTTATTTGAAGACACTTCCTATTTCACCTTAGGATCAAATTGCTCCAAATATCCATTTGCATTTTCTACAAAAAAGAGTGTTTCCAAACTGCTCTATCAAAAGAAAGGTTCAACTCTGTGAGATGAATGCACACATCACAAAGAAGTTTCTCAGAATGCTTCTGTCTAGTTTTTATGTGAGCACATTTCCTTTTTCAACATAGGCCTTAAACTACTTACAAATATCTCTCTGCAGATACTCAAAACAGACTGTTTCCAAACTGCTCAATCAAAATAAATGTTCAACTCTGTGAGATGAATGCACACACAACACAGAAGTTTCTCGGAAGACTTCTGTCTAGTTTTTATGTGAAGATATTTCCTGTTTCAACAGAGGCTTCAATTGGTTCAGAAATATCTTTTTGCAGGTTATACAAAAGGATTGTTTCCAAACAGCTCAATCAAAAGAAAGGTTCAAATCCGTGTGATGAATAAACACATTACGAAATTTTCAGAATGCTTCTGTCTAGTTTTTATGTGATGATATTTCTTCATCTCCATAGGCCTCAAAATGCTCAGATATATACCACTGCAGATACTACAAAAAGACTGTTTCCAATCTGCTAAATCAAAAGAAAAGTTCTGCTCTGTGAGATGAAAGCACACATCATAAGGAAGTTTCCCAGAATGCTTCTGTCTAGTTTTCTGTGAAGATATTTCCTTTTTCACCATAGGCTGCAAACCATTCACAAATATCCCTATGCAGTTAGTACAAAAAGACTGTTTCTGAATTGTGCATTCATAAGAAAGGTTCTACACTGTGAGAGTAATACACATGTCAGAAAGAAGTTTCTCAGAATGTTCTGTCTAGTTTTTATGTGAAGATATTTCCTATTTCACCTTAGTCCTCAAAGGGCTGACAAATACCCCTTTGCAGATTCTACAATAAGACTTTTTCCAAACTGATCAACGAAAAGAAAGGTTCAACTCTGATCAAGGAATGGACACCACACAAAGAAGTTTCTCAGAGTGCATCTGTCTAGTTATTATGTGAAGACATTTGTTTTTCACCATAGGCCTCAAACAGCTCAGAAATATCCCGTTGCAGATTGTACAAAAAGACTGTTTCCAAACTGCTCAATCAAAACAAAGGTTTGACACTGTGAAATGAATACACTCATCACAAAGACGTTTCTCAGAATGCTTCTGTTTAGTTTTTATGTGAAGATATTTCCTTTTTCACCATAGGCCTCAAAGCACTCCAAATATCCATTTGTAGATTCTACAAAAAGAGTGTTTCTAAACTGCTCAATCAAAAGGAAGATTCAACTCTGTGAGATGAATGCAAACATCATAAAGTAGTTTCTCAGAATGCTTCTGTCTAGTTTTTATGTGAAGATATTTCCTTTTTCACCATAGGCCTTAAACTGCTCACAAATATGCCTCTGCAGATACTACAAAAAGACTGTTTCCAAACTGCTCAATCAAAAGAAAGGTTCGACTCTGTGAGATGAAAGCACAAATCACAAAGAAGTTACTCAGAATGCTTCTTTTTAGTTTTTCTGTGAAGGTATTTCCTATTACACCATGGGCCTCAAAGGGCTCACAAATATCCCTTTGCAGATTCTACAAAAAGACTGTTACAGAACTGCTCAATGAAAACTAAGTTTCAACTCTGTGAGATAAATGCACACCTAAAAAAGAAGTTTCTCAGAATGCTTCTGTCTAGTTTTTATGTGAAGATATTTCTTTTTCATCATAGGCCTCAAACCGCTCAGAAATATCCCTATGCAGATTTTACAAAAAGACTGTTTCCAAACTGTTTAATGAAAAGAAAGATTATACTCTGTAAGATGAAAGCACACATTAAAAAGAATTGTCTCAGAAAGTTTCTATCTAGTTTATATGTGAAGATATTTCCTCTTTCATCATAGGCCTCAAAGGGCTCAAAAATATCCCTTTTCAGATACTACAAAAGGCCTCTTTCCAAACTGCTCAATCAAAAGAAAGTTTCAACTCTGTGAGATGAAAGCACACATCACAAATAAGTTTCTCAGAATGTTTGTCTAGTTGTTAAGTGAAGATATTTCCTATTTCACTATAGGCCATAAAGGGATCACAAATATCCCTTTGCAGAATCTACAAAAAGACTGTTTCCAAACAGCTCAATTAAAACAAAGGTTCAACTGTATGAGATGAATGGACACATCACAAAGTAGTTTCTCAGAAAGCTTCTGTCTAGTTTTTATGGGAAGATATGTCTTTTTCACCATAAGCCTCAGATGGCTAAGGAATATCCCTTTACAGATTGCACAAAAAGACTGTTTCCAAATTGCTCAATGAAAAGAAAGGTTCAAATGTGTGAGATGAATGCACACATCATAAAGAAGTTTCTCAGAATGGTTCTGTCTAGTTTTTATGTGAAGATATTTTCTTTTTCACCATAGGCCTTAAACCGCTCCCAAATATCCCTCTGCAGATACTACAAAAAGGCTGCTTGAAAACTGCTCAATCAAAAGAAACTTTCAACTCTGTGAGATGACTGCACACGTCACAAAGAAGTTTCTCAAAATGCTTTTGTCTAGTTTTTATGTGAAGAGATTTCCTTTTTCACCACAGGCCTCAAAGTGCTCCAAATATCCATTTGCAGATTCTACAAAAAGACTGTTTCCGAACAGCTACATGAAAAGAAAGGTTCAACTCTGTGAGATAAATGCACACATGAAAAAGAGGTTTCTCAGAATGCTTCTGGCTAGTTTTTATCTGTCATATTTGTTTTTCTCCATAGGCCTCAAACCATTCAGAAATATCCCTTTACATATTGTACAAAAAGACTGTTTCCAAACTGTCAAATGAAAAGAAAGGTTCAACTCTATGAGATGAACGCAAACATCACAAAGAAGTTTCTCAGAAAGTTTCTATCTAGTTTTTATGTGAAGATAGTTCCTTCTTCACAATAGGCTCAAAGCGCCTCAAATATCAATTTGCAGATTCTACAAAAAGACTGTTTCCAAACCGCTCAATCAAAAGAAAGGTTCAACTCTGTGAGATGAATGCACACATCACAAAGAAGTTTTTCAGAAAGGTTCTGTTTAGTTTTATGTGAAGATATTTCCTTTTTCAACATAGGCTTCAAAGCACTCCACACATCCATTTGCAGATTCTACAAAAAGAGTGTTTCCAAACTGCTCAATCAAAAATAATGTTCAACTCTGTGAGATGAAAACACACATCATAAAGAAGTTTCTCATAATGCTTCTGTCTAGTTTTTATGTGAAGATATTTCGTATTTCACCATAGGCATCAAAGAGCTCACAAATATCCCCTTGCAGACTCTACAAAAAGACTGTTTTTGAACTGCTCCATGCAAAGAAAGTTTCAACTCTGTGAGACAAATGTACACATAAAAAAGCAGTTTGTCAGAATGCTTCTGTCTAGTATTTATATGTAGATATTTCTTTTTCAACATAGGCATCAAACCGTTCAGAAATATCCCTTTGTAGATTGTACAAAAAGACTGTTTCCAAACTGCTCAATTAAAAGAAATGTTCAACACTGTGAGATGAATGCACACATCACAAAGAAGTTTCTCAGAATGCTTCTGTCTAGTTTTTATATGAAGATATTTCTTTATCACCATAGGCCTCAAACCCCTCAGAAATATCCCTTTTCAGATTGTAGAAAAAGACTGTTTCCTAACTGCTCAATCTAAAGGATGGTTCAACTCTGTGAGATGAAAGCACACATCACAAAGAAGTTTCTCAGAAAGCTTCTGTCTAGTTTTTATGTGAAGATACTTCCCTTCTAACAATAGGCCTCAGAGTGATCCAAATATCGATTTGCAGATTCTACAAAAGACTGTTTCCAAACTGCTCAATAAAAAGAAATTTTTAACTCTGTGAGATGAAAGCATACATCACAAAGAAGTTACTCAGACAGCTTCTGTCTAGTTTTTATGTGAAGATATTTCCTATTTCATCTGAGGCCACAAAGGACTCACAAATATCACTTTGCAGATTCTATAAAAAGACTTTTTCCAAATTGCTCAATCAAAAGAAAGGTTCAACTCTGTGAGATGAATGGACACATCACAAAGAAGTTTCTCATAATGCTACTGTCTACTTTTCATGTGAAGATATTTCTCTTTCACCATAGGACTCTAATGGCTCTGAAATATCCCTTTCCATATTGTACAATAATACTCTTTCCAAAATGCTCAATCAAAAGTAACATTCAACTCTGTCAGATGAATGTAGACATCACAAACAAGTTTCTCAGAAAGTTTCTGTTTAGTTTTTATGTGAAGATATTTCTTTTTTCACCATGGGCCTCAAAGTGCTCCAAATATCCATTTACGGATTCTACAAAAAGAGTCTTTCTAAACTGCTCAAATAAAAGACACTTTCAACTTTGTGAAATGAAAGCACACATCACAAAGAAGTTTCTTAGAAAGCTTCTGTCTAGTTATTATGTGAAGATATTTTGTATTTCACCATTGGCCTCAATGGGCTCAGAAATATCCCTTTTCATATTCTACAAAAGGACTGTTTCCAAACTGCTCAAACTAAAGAAAGATTCAACTCTGTGAGATGAATGCACACATCACAAAAGTTTCTCAGAATGCTTCTGTCTAGTTTTCATGTGAAGATATTTCCTTTTTCACCATAGGCCTCAAACTGCTCACAAATATCCCCCTGCAGATACTACAAAAAAGACTGTTTCCAAACTGCTCAATCAAAATAAATGTTCAACTCTGTGAGACGAATGCACACGTCACAAAGAAGTTTCAGAGAATGCTTCTGTCTACTTCTTATGTGAATATAATTCATTTTTCACGATAGGCCTCAAAACTCTCCAAATATCTATTTGCAGATTCCAGAAAACGAATGCTTCCAAACTGCTCAATCAAAAGAAAGTTTCAACTCTTTGAGATGAAAGCACACATCACAAAGAAGTTTCTTAGAAAGATTCTGTCTAGTTGTTATGTGAAGATATTTCATATTTCACCATAGGCCTCAATGGTTCAGAAATATCCCTTTGCAGGTTCTACAAAAGGACTCTTTCCAAACTGCTCACTCCAAAGAAATTTTCAACTCTGTTATATGAATTCACACATCACAAAATTTCTCAGAATGCTTCTGCCTAGATTTTATGTGTAGATATTTCCTTTCTCACCATAGGTGTCAAACTGCTCACAAATATCCCTCTGCAGATACTATAAAAAGACTGTTTCCAACCTGCTCAATCAAAAGAAAGATTCAACTATGTGAGACAAATGCACACGACACAAAGAAGTTTCTCAGAAAGCTTCTGTCTACTTTTTATGTGAATATAATTCCTTTTTCAACATAGGGCTGAAAGCTCTCCAAATATCCCTTTGCAGATTCTACAAAAAGACTTTTTCCAAACTACTCAATCAAAACAAAGATTCAACCCAGTGAGATGAATGCACACATCACAAAGTAGTTTATCAGAATGCTTCTGTCTAGTTTTTATGTGAAGATATTTCTTTTTCAACACAGGCCTCAAATGACTCAGAAATATCCCTTTGCAGATTGTCCAAAAAGACTCTTTCCAAACTGCTCAATCAAAGAAAAGGTTCAACATGTGAAATGAAAGTGCACATCACAAAGAAGTTTCTCAGATGGTTTCTTTGTAGTTTTAATGTGAAGATATTTCCTTTTTCACCATACGCCTCAGTGGATTCAAAAATATCCCTTTGGAGATCCTACAAAAGGCTTCTTTCCAAACTGTTCTAACAAAGGAAAATTTTAACTCTGTGAGGTGAAAGGACACATCACAAATAAGTTTCTCAGAAAGCTTCCGTCTAGTTTTTATGTGAAGATATTTCGTATTTCACCTTAGGCCATAAAGGGATCACAAATATCCCTTTACAGAATATACAAAAAGACTGTTTCCAAGCTGCTCCATCAAAAGAAAATTTCAACTGTATGAGATGAATGAACACATCACAAAGATGTTTCTCAGAAAGCTTCTGTCTAGTTTTTATGTGAAGATATTTCTTTTTCACCATAGGCCTCAAACATCTAAGAAGTATCCCTTTGCAGATTGGACAAAAAGACTGTTTCAAAACTGCTCAATCAAAAGAAATTTTCAACTTTGTGTGATGAATGTACACATCACAAAGAACTTTCTCAGAATGCTTCTATCTAGTTTTTATCTGAAGATATTTACTTTTTCACCATAGGCCTTAAACCGCTCCCAAATATCCCTCTGCATATACTTCAAAAAGACTGCTTCCAAACTGCTCAATGAAAAGAAAGGTTCAAGTCTGTGAGATAAAAGCACACATCACAAAGAAGTTCTTCAGAAAGTTTCTCACTAGATTTTATATGAAGATATTTAGTTTTTCACCACAAGCCACAGAGCGCTCCAAATATCCATTTGCAGATATATCAAAAAGACTGCTTCCAAACTGCTCAATCAAAATAAAGTTTCAACTCTCTGAGATGAATGCAAACATCACAAAGACGTTTCTCAGAATGCTTCTGTCTAGTTTTTCTGTGAAGATATTTCCTATTTCACCGTGGGCCTCAATGGGCTCACATAGATCCTTTGGCAGATTCTACAAAAAGACTGTTTCCGAAGTTCTCAATGAAAAGAAAGGTTCAACTCTGGGAGATGAATGCACACATGAAAAAGAAGTTTCTCAGAATGCCTCTGTCTGGTTTTTATGTGAAGTTATTTCTTTTTCACCATAGGCCTGAATCAGCTAAGAAATTTCCCTTTGCACCTTCTACAAAAGACTGTTTCCAAACTGCTCAATCGAAAGAAAGGTTGAATTCTGTGACATGAATTCACACATCACAAAGAAGTTTCTCAGAAATCTTCTGTCTAGTTTTTATGTGAAGATACTTCCTTTTTCACCATGGGCCTCAAATAACTCCAAATATCCATTTGCAGATTCTACAAAAAGACTTTCCAAACTGCTCAATCAAAAGAAACGTTCAACACTGTGAGATGAAAGCACACATCACAAAGAAGTTTCTCAGAAATCTTCTGTCTAGTTTTTATGTGAAGATATTTCGTATTTCACCACAGGCCATAAAGGGCTCACAAATATCCCTTTGCAGATTCTACAAAACGACTGTTTCCAAACTGCTCAATCAAAAGAAAGGTTCAACTCTGTGACATGAATGGACACATCACAAAGAAGTTTCTCATGAATGCTTCTGTCTAGTTTTTATGTGCAGATGTTTTGTTTTCACCATAGGCCTCAAATGGCTCAGAAATATCCCTTTGCAGATTGTACAAAAAGACTGTTTCTAAACTGCTCAATCAAGGCAAAGTTTCAACTCTGTGAAATGAAAGCCCACATCACAAAGAAGTTTCACAAAATGTTTTTGTCTAGTTTTTATGTGAGTATATTTCCTTTTTGACTGTAGGCCTCAAAGCTCTCCAAATATCCATTTGTAGATTCTTCAAAAAGACTGTTTCCAAAGTGATCAATCAAAAGAAAGTTTCAACTCTGTAGGATGAAAGCACACATCACAAAGTAGTTTCTCAGAAAGCTGCTGTCTAGTATTTATATGAAGATATTTCCTATTTCACCATAGGCCTCAAAGGGATCACAAATATCCCTTTGCAGATTCTACAAAAAGACTGTTTCCAAACTGCTAAATGACAAAAAATTTCAACTCTGTGAGGTGAATGCACATATAAAAAAGAAGTTTCTCAGAATGCTTCTGTCTAGTTTTTATGTGAGGATATTTCTTTTTCACCACAGGCCTGAAACTACTCAGAAATATTCCTTTGCAGATTGCACAAAAAGAATGTTTCCAAACTCCTCAATGAACAGAAAGGTTCAACTCTTTGAGATGAATGCAAACATCACAAAGAGTTATCTCAAAAACTTCTGCCTGGTTTTTATGTGAAGATATTTAGTTTTTCACCATAGGCCTCAAACTGCTCAAAAATATACCTTTGCAGATTCTATACAATGACTTGTTCCCAAACTGCTCAATGGAAAGAAAGGTTCAAATCTGTGATATGAAAGCACGCATCACAAAGAAGTTTCTCAGAATGCTTCTGTCCAGTTATTATGTGAAGATATTTCCTATTTTGCTATAGGACTCAAAGGGCTCAGAAATATCCCTTTGCAGATTCTACAAAAGGACTGTCTCCAAACTGCTCAATCAAAAAAAAAGGTTCAACTCTGTGAGATGAAAGCACACATCACAAAGAAGTTTCTCAAAAACTTCTGTCTAGTTTTTATGTGAAGATATTTCCTATTTCACCATAGTCCTCAAAGGGCTCAGAAATGTCCCTTTGCAGATTCTTTGAAAAGACTGTTTCCAAACTACTGAATGCAATGAAAGGTTTAACTCTGTGGGATGAAGGCACATATCACAGAGAAGTTTCCCAGAATGCTTCTGTCTAATTTTATGTGAAGATATTTCTTTTTCACCATAGGCCTCAAATCACTCAGAAATATCCCTTTACAGATTGTGCAAAAAGACGGTTTTCAAACAGCTCAATGAAAAGGAAGATTCAACTCTGGGAGATGAATGCAAATATCACAAAGAGGTTTCTCAAAAATCTTCTGTCTGGTTTTTACGTGAAGGTATTGCCTTTTTCACCATAGGCCTCAAACCACTCATAAATATCCCTATTCAGATTCTACAAAAAGACTGTTTTCAAACTGCTCAATGAAAGAAAGGTTAAACTCTGAGATGAAAGCACACGTCACAAAGAAGTTTCTCAGAATGCTTTTGTCTAGTTTTATGTGAAGAAGTTTCCTTTTTTCACCATAGGCCTCAAAGAGCTCCAAATATCCACCTGCAGATTCCATGAAAAGACTGTTTCCAAATTGCTCAATCAAAAGAACTGTTCAACTCTGTGAGATGAATGCACACATAACAAAGAAGTTTCTCAAAAAACTTCTGTTTACTTTTTATGTGAAGATATTTCCTTTTTCACCATGGGCCTCAAAGCACTCCAAATATCCACTTGCAGATTCTACAAAAAGAGTGTTTCCAATCTGCTCAATCAAAAGAAAGGTTCCACTCTGTGAGATGAAAGCACACATCACAAAGAACTTTCTTAGAAACCTTCTATCTAGTTTTTATGTGAAGATATTTCATATTTCAAAGTAGGCCTCAATGGGCTCAGAAGTATACCCTTGCAGATACTACAAAAAAAGTGTTTCCAAACAGCTCAATCAAAAGAAAGGTTTAACTCTGTGAGATGAATGCACACATCACAAAGAACTTTCTCAGAATGCTTCTGTCTAGTTTTTCTGAGAAGCCATTTCCTCTTTCACTATAGGCCTCGGTCCACTCACTAATAGCCCTCTGCAGATACTACAAAAAGTCTCTTTCCCAACTGCTGAATCAAAATAAAGGTTCAAATCTGTGAGATGAAAGCCCACATCACAAAAAGTTTCTCAGAAAGTTTCTGTCTAGTTTTTATGTGAAGATATTTCCTATTTCACCTTTGGCCTCAAAGGGATCACAAATATCCCTTTTCAGATTCTACAAAAAACTGTTTCTGAACTACTTCATAAACAGAAAGGTACAACTCTGTGAGATGAATGCACACATAAAAAATTAGTTTCTCAGAATGCTTCTGTCCAGTTTTTATGTGAAGATATTACTTTTTCACCAGAGGTCTCAAACCGCAAACAAATATTCATTTGCAGATTGCACAAAAAGTATGTTTCCACACTGCTCAGTAAACAGAAAGGTTCAACTCAGTGAGATGAATGCAAACATCACAATGAGTTTTCTCAAAATGCTTCTGTCTAGGTTTTATGTGAAGATATTACTTTTTCACCATAGGCCTCAAGCTGCTCACAAATATCCCTTTGCAGATTCTACAAAATGACTTATTGCCAAACTGCTCAATGAAAAGGAAGGTCCAAATATGTGAGATGAAAGCACACATCACAAAGAAGTTTCTCAAAAAGTTTCTGTCTAGTTTTTATCTGCAGATATTTCCTTTTTCACCATAGGCCTCAAAACACTCCAAGTATCCATTTGCAGGCTCTACAAAAAGAGTGTTTCCAAAGTGCTCAATCAAAAGAGAGGTTGAACTCTGTGAGGTGAAAGCATACAGCACAAAGAAGTTTTTCAGAAAGCTTCTGTCAAGTTTTTATGTGAAGATATTTCTTATTTCACCATAGGCCTCAATGGGCTCACAAATATCCCTTTGCAGATTCTACAAAAGACTCTTTCCAAACTGCTCAATCAAAGGAAAGTTTCAGCTCTGTGACATGAATGCACACACCACAAAGAAGTTTCTCAGAATGCTTCTGTCTAGTTTTTATATGAAGATATTTCCTGTTCATAATAGGCCTAAAATGCTGCAAATATCCATTTGCAGATTCTACTAAAAGACTGCTTCTAACCTGCTCAATCAAAAGGAAAGTTCAACTCTGTGAGGTGAAAGCACACATCACAAAGAAGTTTCTCAGAAAGCTTCTGTCTAGTTTTTATGTGAAGATATTTCCTATTTCACCACAGGCCTCAATGGACTCACAAATATCCCTTTCCAGATCCTACAAAAAGACTGTTTCCAAACTGCTCAATGAAAAGAAAGTTTCAACTCTGTGAGGTGAATGCACACATCATAAAGAAGTTTCTCAGAATTTTTTTGTCTTGTTTTTATCTGAAGATATTTCTCTTGCACTGTAGGCCTCAAATAGCTCAGAAATATCCCTTTGCAGATTGTACAAAAAGACTGTTTCCAAACTGCTCAATCAAAAGAAAGTTTCAACACTGTGAGATGAATGCACACATCACAAAGAAGTTTCTCAGAAAGCTTCTGTTTAGCTTTCATGTGAAGATATTTCTGTTTTCACCATAGGCCTCAATGGGCTCAGAAATATCCCTTTGCAGATTCTACAAAAGGACTGTTTAGAAAACTGCTCAATCCAAAGAAAGTTTCAACTCTGTGAGATGAATGCACACATCTCAAAGAAGTTCCTCACAATGGATCTGTCGAGCTTTTATGTGAAGATATATCCTTTTTAACCATAGGCCTTAAACTGCTCACAAATATCCCTCTGCAGATACTACAAAAAGACTGTTTCCAAACTGCTGCATCCAAAGAAATGTTCAACTCTGTGAGATGAATACACACATCACAAAGAAGTTTCTCAGAATGCTTCTGTCTGGTTTTTATGTGAAGATATTTCCTTTTTCACCATAGGCCTCAAAGTGCTCCAAATATCCATTTACAGACTCTACAAAAAGAGTGTTTCCAAACTGCTCATTCAAAAGAAATGTTCAAATCTGTGAGATGAAAGCACACATCGCAAACTGGTTTCTCAGAAAGTTTCTGTCTAGTTTTTATGTGAAGATATTTCCTATTTCACCGTAGGCCATAAAGGGCTCACAAATATTTTTTGCAGATTCTTCAAAAAGACTGTTTCCAAACTGCTCTATCCAAAGAAAGGTCCAACTCTGTGAGATGAATGGACACATCACAAAAAAATTTCTCAGAATGCGTCTGTTCAGTTTTTTTGTGAAGATATTTGTTTTTCACCCTAGGCCTCAATGGGCTCAGAAATATCCCTTTGCAGATTCTCAAAAAAGACTGTTTCCAAACTTCTCAATCTAAAGAAAGGTTCACCTGTGTGAATTGAATGCATACATCACAGAGAAGTTTCCCAGAATGCTTCTGTCTAGTTTTTATGTGAAGGTATTTCCTTTTTCACCATAGGCCTCAAACCACTCACAAATATCCCTCTGCAGATACAACAAAGGACTGTTTCCAATCTGCTAAAACAAAAGATAGGCTCAACAACATGAGATGAATGCACACATCACAAAGAAGTTTCTCAGAATGTTTCTGTCTAGTTTTAATGTGAAGATATTTACTTTTTCACCATAGGCCTCAAAGCACTCCAAACATCCATTTGCAGATTCCACAAAAAGACTGTTTCCAAACTGCTCAATCAAAAGAAAGGTTCAACTCTGTGTGATGAAAGCACACATCACAAAGAAGTTTCTCAGAAAGCTTCTGTCTAGTTTTGTGTGAGGATATTTCCTATTTCCCCACAGGCCTCAATGAACCCACAAATATCCTTTTGCAGATTCTACAAAACGACTGTTTCCGAACTGCTCAATGAAAAGAAAGTTTCAACTCTGTGATGTGAAAGCACACATAAAACAGAAGTTTCTCAGATTCCTTCTGTATAGTTTTTATGTGAAGATATTACTTTTTCACCATAGGCCCCAAACGGCTCAGAAATATCCCTTTGCAGATTGTACAAAAAGACGGTTTCCAAACTGCTCAATGAAAAGGAAGATTCATCTCTGTGAGATGAATGCACACATGAAAAAGAAGTTTCTCAGAATGCTTCTGTCTAGTATTTATGTTAAGATATTTCCTTTTTCACCATAGGCTTTAAACTGCTCACAAATATCCCTCTGCAGATACCACAAGAAGACTGTTTCCAAACTGCTCCATGAAAACAATGGCTCAACTCTGTGAGATTAATGTACACATCACACAGAAGTTTCTCAGAATGATTCTTTTTAGTTTTTATGTGAAGATATTTCCTATTTCATCATAGGCTGTAAAGGGTTCACCAATATCTGTTTGCACATTCTAAAAAAAGACTGTTTCCAAACTGCTCAAACAAAAGAAAGGTTCAACTCTGTGAGATGAATGCACACATCAGAAAGAAGTTTCTCAGAATGCTTCTGTCTAGTTTTTATGTGAAGATATTTGTTTTTCACCATAGGCCTCAAACAGCTCAGAAATATCCTTTTGCAGATTTTACAAAAAGACTGTTTCCAAACTGCTCAATCAAAAGAAAGGTCCAACACTCTGAGATGAATGCACACATCACAAAGAAGTTTCTCAGAGAGCTTCTATTTTGTTTTTATTTAAAGATGTTTCCTTTTCACCATAGGCCTCAATGGGCTAAGAAATATCCCTTTGCAGATGCTACAAAAGGACTGTTTAGAAAACTGCTGAATCCAAAGAAAGATTCAACTCTGTGAGATGAATGCACACGTCACAAAGAAGTTTCTCAGAATGCATCTGTCCAGTATTTTCTATGTGAATATGTTTCCTTTTTCACCATAGGCCTCAAAGCAGTCCAAATACCCATTTGCAGATTCTACAAAAAGAGTGTTTCCAAACTGCTCAATCAAAAGAAAGGTTCAACTCTGTGACATGAAAGCACACATCACAAAGAAGTTTCTCAGAAAGTTTCTGTCTAGTTTTTTTGTGAAGATATTTCCTATTTCACCACAGGCCATATAGGGCTCACAAATATTTTTTGCAGATTCTACAAAAAGACTGTTTCCAAACTGCTCAATCCAAAGAAAGTTTCAACTCTGTGAGATGAATGGACACATCACAAAAAAGTTTACTAGAATGCTTCTGTCTAGTTTTTATGTGAAGATATTACTTTTTCACCCTATGCTTCAATGGGCTCAGAAATATCCCTTTGCAGATTCTACAAAAGGACTGTTTCCAAACTGCTCAGTCAAAGAAAGATTCACCTCTATGAGATGAATGCACACATCACAGAGATGTTTCTCAGAATGCTTCTGCCTAGTTTCTATGTGAAGGTATTTCCTTTTTCACCATAGGCCTCAAAGCGCTCCAAACATCCATTTGCAGATTCCACAAAAAGACTGTTTCCAAACTGCTCAATCAAAAGAAAGGTACAACTCTGTGAGTTGAAAGCACACATCACAAAGAAGTTTCTCAGAAAGCTTCTGTCTAGTTTTTCTGTGAGGATAATTCCTGTTAAACCATGGGCCATAAAGGGCTCACAAATATTTTTTGCAGATTCTAGAAAAAGATTGTTTCCAAACTGCTCAATACAAAGAAAGGTTCAACTCTGTGAGATGAATGGACACAACACAAAAAAGTTTCTCAGAATGCTTCTGTCTAGTGTTTATGTGAGATATTTCCTTTTTCACCATAGGCCTCAAAGCACTCCAAATATCCATTTGCAGATTCCACAAAAAGACTGTTTCCAAATTGCTCAATGAAAAGAAAGTTTCAACTCTGTGAGGTGAAAGCACACATCACAAAGAAGTTTCTCAGAATGTATCTTCCTAGTTTTTTTTGTGAGGATCTTTTCCCTTTCACCATAGGCCTCAAACCACTCCAAGTATCCATTTGGAGATTCTACCAAAAGACTGTTTACAAACTGCTAAATCAAAAGAAAGGTTCAGCTCTGTGATATGAATGCACATATCACAAGGAAGTTTCTCAGAAAGTTTCTGTTTAGTGTTTATCTGAAGATATTTCCTTTTTCACCATAGGCCTCAAAGTACTCTCAATGTGCATTTCCAGATTCTACAAAAAGTCTGTTTCCAAACTGCTCAGTGAAAAGAAAGGTTCAACTTTGGGAGATGAAAGCACACATCACAAAGAAGTTTCTCAGAATGTTTCTTTCTAGTTTTTTTTGTGAAGATATTTCCTTTTTCACCATAGGCCTCAAAGCACTCCTAATATCCATTTGCAGATTCTACAAAAAGACTGTTTACAAACTGCTCAATCAAAAGAAAGTTTCAAAGCTGTGAGATTAATGCACGCATTACAAAGCAGTTTCTCAGAAATCTTTTGTTTAGTTTTTATGTGAAGATATTTCCTTTTTCACCATAGGCCTCAAAGAACTCCAATTATCCATTTGCAGATTCTGCAAAAAGGGTGTTTCCAAACTGCTCAGTCAAAAGAAACCCTCAATTCTTTGAGATGAAAGCACTCATTAAAAGAAGTTTCTCAGAAAGCTTCTGTCTAGCTTTTATGTGAAGATATTTTCTATATCACCAAAGGCCTCAATGAGCTCAGAAATATCCCTTTGGGGATTCTACAAAGGACTGCTTCCAAACTGCTCTAGGAAAAGAAAGCTTCAACTGTGTGAGACGAATGCACCCATCACAAAAAAGTTTTTCAGAATGTTTCTGTGTAATTTTTATATGAAGATATTTCCTACTTCACAATAGGCCTCAAAGGGTTCACAATTATCCCTTTGTAGATTTTACAAAAAAAACTGTTTCCAAATCTTCAATCAAAGAAATGTTCAACAGTGTGAGATGAATGCAAATGACAGAAAGAAGTTTTTCAGAATGCTTTCATCTAATTTTTATGTGAAGATATTTCCTTTTTCACCATAGGCTTCAAAGCGATCCCAATATCCATTTGCAGGTTGTACAAAAAGACTGTTTCCAATCTGCACAATTGAAAGACATTTTCAAATCTGTGAGATGAAAGTACACATCACAGAGAAGTTTCTCAAAAAGCTACTGTCTAGTTTTTATGTGAAGATATTTCCTATTTCACCATAGGCCATAAAGGGCTCACAAATATACGTTTGCATATGCTACAAAAATACTGTTACCAAATTGCTCAGTCAAAAGAAAGTTTCAACTCTGTGAGATGAATGGACACATCACAAAGTAGTTTCTAAGAATGCTTCTGTCTAGTTTTTTTGGAAGATATTTCTTTTTCATCATAGGCCTCAAACGGCTCAGAAATATCCCTTTGCAGATTGTACAAAAAGACTGTCTCCAAACTGTTCAATCAAAAGAAAGGTTCAACTCTGTGAGATGAATTCAAACATCACAAAGAGGTTTCTCAAAATACTTCTGTCTAGTTTTTATGTGAAGGTATTTCCTTTTTCACCACATGCCTCAAACGGCTCACAAATATCCCTTAGCAGATTCTACAAAAAGACTGTTTCCAAACTGCTCAATGAAAAGAAAGGTTAAACTCTGTGAAATGAAATCTCTCATCACAAAGAAGTTTCTCAGAATGCTTCTGTCTCGTTTTTATGTGGAGAAGTTTCCTTTTTCACCATAGGCCTCAAACCGCTCCAAATACCCATTTGCGGATTCTACAAAAAGACTGTTTCCGACTGCTCAAACAAAAGAACGGTTCAACTCTGGGAGATGAATGCACACATCATAAAAAAGTTTCTCAGAAAGCTTCCATTTAGTTTTTATGTGAAGATATTTCCTTTTTTACCATGGGCCTCAAAGTGCTCCAAATATCCATTTGCAGATTCTACAAAAAGAGTGTTTCCAAACTGCTCAATCAAAAGAAAGGTTCAACTCTGTGAGATGGAAGCACACATCACAAAGAAGTTTCTTAGAAACATTCTGTCTAGTTTTTACGGGAAGATATTTCATATTTCACCATAGGCCTCAATGGGCTCAGAAATATACCTTTGCAGATTCCACAAAAGGATTGTTTCCAACCTGCTCAATCCAACAAAAGGTTCAACACTGTGAGATGAATTCACACATCACAAAGAAGTTTCTCAGAAAGCTTCTGTCTAGTTTTTATGTGAAGATATTTCCTTTTTCACCATAGGCCTCAAACCACTTGCAAACATCCCTCGGGAGATACTACAAAAAGACTATTTCCAAACTGTTCAACCAAAAGAAAGCTTCAACTCTGTATGATAAATGCACACGTCACAAAGAAGTTTCTCAGAATGCTTCTGTCTAGTTTTTATGTGAGTATATTTCCTTTCTCAACAAGGCCTCAAACGTCTCCAAATGTCCATTTGCAGATTCTACAAAAAGATGGTTTCCAAACTGCTCAATGTATAGAAAGGTTCAACTCTGTGAAATGAAAACACACATCACAAAGAAGTTTCATAGAATGTTGCTTTCTAGGTTTTTGTGAAGATATTTCCTTTTTCACCACAGTCCTCAAAGTGCTCCAAATAGCAGATTCTACAAAAAATGTGTTTCAAAACTGCTCAATAAAAAGAAAGGTTCAACTCTGTGAGATGAAAGCATACATCACAAAGAAGTTTCTCAGAAATCCTCTGACTAGTTTTTATGTGAAGATATTTCCTATTTTACCATAGGCCTCAAAGGGCTCACAAATATCCCTTTGCAGATTCTACAAAAGGACTGTTTTGAAACTGCTCAATCAGAAGAAAGGTTCAACTCTGTGAGATGAATGCATACATCACAAAGAAGTTTCTAAGAATGCTTCTGGCTAGTTTTTATGTGAAGATATTTCCTTTTTCACCATAGGCCTCAAAGCGCTCCAAATATCCATTTGCATATTCTACAAAAAGACTGTTTCCAAACTCCTCAACGAAAAGAGAGCTTCAACTCTGTGAGATGAAAGCACACTTCACAAAAAAGTTTCTCAGAATGCTTCTGTCTAGTTTTTATGTGAAGATATTTCCTATTTCACCTTAGGCCATAAAGGACTCATAAATATCCCTCTGCATATTCTAGAAAAGGACTCTTTCCAAAGTGCTCAATCAAAAGAAAGGTTCAACTCTGTGAGATGAATGTGCACATCACAAAGAAGTTTCTCAGAAAGCTTCTGTCCAGTATTTTATATGAAGATATTTCCCTTTTCACCATACCTATCAAAGCGCTCAAAATATCCCTTTGCAGATTCTCTGAAAAGACTCTTTCCAAACTTCTCAATCAAAAGAATGGTTCAACTCTGTGAGATAAATGCACATATCACAAAGCAGTTTTTCTGAAATCTTCTGTCTAGTTTTTATGTGAAGATATTTCCTTTTTCACCATAGGCCTCAAGCCGCTCACAAATATCCCTTTGCAGAATTTACAAGAACAGAGTTTCCAGACTCATTAAGGAATAGAAACTTTTATCTCTGTGAGATGAATGCACACCTTGCAAAACAGCTTCTCAGAAACATTCTTTATAGTTTTTATTGAAGATATTTCCTTTTTCACCATAGGCCTCAGAGAGCTGACAAATATACCTTTGCCAATTCTACAAAAATACTGTCTCCAAACTGCTCAATCAAAAGAATGGTTCAACTCTGTGAGATGAATGCACACATAGCCATGAACTTTCTCAGAAACTTCGGTCAAGTTTTTATGCGATGATATTTCCTTTTTCACCATAGGCCTCGAACTGCTCACAAATATCCCTTTGCAGATTGCACAAGAAAAGAGTTTCCCATCTGCTCAATGAAAAGAAACGTTTACCTCTGTGAGATGAATGCACACATTAAAAAGCAGTTTCTCAGAAACCTTCTGTCTAGTTTTTATGTGAATTTATTTCGTTTTTCACCATAGGCCTCAAAGCGTTCACAAATATCCCTTTGCATATTCTACAAAAAGACTGTTTCCAAATTGCTCAATCAAAGGAATGGTTCAATTCTGTGAGATGAGTGCACACATTACACAGATGTCTCTCAGAAAGCTTCTGTCTAGTTTTCATGTGAAGATATTTCCTTTTTCACCATAAGCCTGAAAGTGTTCACAAATATCCATTTGCAGATTCTACAAAATACTGGTTCCAAAATGCTCAATCAATAGAAAGGTTCAACTCTGTGAGATGAATTCACACATCACAAATCAGTTTCTCAGAAACCTTCTTTCTAGTTTTTATGTGAAGACATTTCCTTTTTCAACATAAGCTTCAAAGCGCTCACAAATATCCCTTTGCAGATTCTACAAAAAGACTGTTACCAAACTGCTCAATCAAAAGAATGGTTCAACTCTGGGATGAATGTACAAATCACAAAAAAAGTTTCTCAGAAAGCTTCTGTCTAGTTTTTATGTGAAGAGATTTCCTTTTTCACCATTGGCCTCCAAGTGATCACAAATATCCCTTTGCCAATTCTACAAAAATACTGTTTCCAAACTGCTCAATCAAAAGAATGGTTCAACCCTGTGATATGAATGCACACATAACCAGGAAGTTTCTCAGAAACTTCTGTCAAGTTTTTATGCAATGATATTTCCTTTTTCGCCATAGGCCTCAAACTGCTCACAAATATCCCTTTGCAGATCCTACAAGAACAGAGTTTCCAATCTGCTCAATGAAAAGAATGATTTACCTCTGTGAGATGAACACACACATCACAAAGCAGTTTCTCATAAATCTTCTTTCTAGTTTTTATGTAAAGATATTTCCTTTTTCACCATAGGCCTCAAAGTGCTCACAAATATCCCTCTGCAGATTCTACAAAACACCATTTCCAAGCTTTTCAATCAAAAGAATGGTTTAACTTTGTGAGATGAATCCACACGTCAAAAAGTAGTTTCTCAGAAAGCGTCTGTCTAGTTTTTATGTGAAGATATTTCCTTTTTCACCATAGACATCAAAGTGCTCACAAATATCACTTTGCAGATTGCACAAGAACTGAGTTTCCAGACTGGTCAAGGGAATGAAACGTTTAACTCTGTGAGATGAATGCAGACATCACAAAGCAGTTTCTCAGAAACATTCTTTATAGTTTTTATGTAAAAGTATTTCCTTTTTCACCATGGTCTCAAAGCACTCACAGATATCCCTTTGCAGATTCTATAACAACAAAATTTCCAAACTGCTCATAATTAGTTTTTAGGACCAACATGAGCATTTAGAAACACTGCTTGTGGTGCAGCACACATGTGTTATCCACACTGAAATTAGGAATTCAACAGAAGTTCATGTAGAGCCGAAAATGTGAATATTTGGGGGACCTTGGAGATGATCTAGCTCACTTTATTTTGTAGAAAAGAAAACAGATTCAGGGAAAGGACATGCATTGCCTAAGGTGATTCCACAGCTTTGGTGCAGAAACAAAACACAGCTAAGGTGATTCATCAGGTTTGGAGCAGAAACGCAATACAATCTCTGTTCTTTTGCTTCTCAGATCCAGAATTTTTTCACAATACTGAACTGCTTATGTTTCTGATTCCTTATTTTTTCTTTTTAAATTTTGCCAGTATTGTCTTACAAAGATCCTATTCTTTACCCTAAATATTTAAATTGGTTACCACTATTGTCTCTTTATAAGTAAAATTACTAGTTGTTATTATAAATGATTATTCAATCACTTTTCATTTTTGGGGGTCCAGTACAAAGTTAGTAACAAATAAACACTATTGGCCTTGGCAACCCAAGAGGAGCTCAAGTCCTCCAGGGCACATCAGGAAAAGGCTAAATGACAGCTGTGCTGGGAGTGGACAGAATACAGCTCTCATACAGACTATTGAGTATTTGATGTTTTTCAACAATTTCATTAATCTTCAGTTTTTTTCCTCTTTGAAGTGAAAGTCTGCTATGACTTTCAACTTTCTTTTGAAATAATTATAGATTCACAGGAAGTTGCAAAAGGTACAGGGATGTCTTAGGTACTCTTCACTAATTCCAGTGGTGACATCTCACATAGCCATAGAGCATTATCAAAACCTGGAAACTGACATAGGTACAATTCAGAAAGCTTACTCAGATCGCAACCGTTTTGCATGCATTCATTTTTGTACGTGTGTATGTGTGTGCGTGTGTTCTGTTCATTTTTATGTGGTGTAGATCTCTGTAACTACCACTTCCAAAGTCAAGATGCAGAACTGTAGCCTCACCACCAGGCTCCAACTTGGGATCTTTGCTGACACTCTGACACGTTTTCTCCACCCCTTCCCCTTGGCAACCCCATAGTCTGTTCTCCATCTTTACAATTTTATTTCAATAATTTATATAAATGTAATTGTACAAAATCGTATTTTTAAAGGGAAAAAACAAGTCACAGATAGTTTTGTTAGCACTGTAAAACAGTCTTTAACATTCATCTGTTTTATGTTCTGTCTCAAAAAAATGTGCTTTGTTCTTTCCCATACTTTCTGATATCAGGATAGGAAATCAATACCAAACAAAACATTTCCATTCATTTTTTCCCACAGCTTGTTTTTCACTGTTGTTACCTAAAATTTATTGTTGCATTTACTCTTTCTCTCTGTTTTCCATCACATAAAAGTAACTTTGTGTTCTTTATCTCTTCTAAGAAAACTTGGTAATGAGCCTTTAATGTGACGCCTGGACAACCCTTGTTTTGATTTTGTGTTATGGGTGTTCTTTTGTGTGATCATTCTCATGGAGAGTCCTTGTGAAGCTGGGCTTTTCCAGTGGTTTGTCAAAATGGAAATAGATATTTAACAAACCAAACACAAAATGACCTTGTTCCAGGAATGCATCATTTCTGAGAAAACACTACCTCTTCCAACTAGATATTGTGAATATTACTCATATTATCCTTTGCTCCCTTTTATTAAAACTGTATTTTTTTACACATTTGTGTAACTCGGGTAATGAAATGTGAAACTAAGTGATTGCCTACCAATTACAATTAATGTTAACGATGCTACTGGGAGGACACCCTTACAGTGGCTGTGCCAAGTCTAGGGACATGCTAGCTTTGCTAAGTTACATGAGATTGCCTACGTACTAAATGGAGGTGGGGGACGGGTCCGAGGACACGGTGGCGCTGCCCTGCCCCGAAAGGCCCAGAGCTGGAGGCGGGCGCGCGATGGTGGATGACACCACAGCGTCCAGCGGATCACCACCAGGGGCAAGCGAACCATGGGACCAGACGGGCCGTGTGGCAGGCTTCCGGCCCCGGACACACCGTGACGTGCCGGGCGGGTGGGGGGTGGGCAGGGTGTGGGTGGGCGAGGAGGACGGTGCCTCGGAGGAGTGTTGGGGAGGAGGGGCACTGGAGCTGTGGTCGGCCAGTTGCTGGGCCGCCTCCAGGGGTGGACGGTGAACCGCGGCGACCGGGACGTGCTCCGCCACCCTCTCCCCGGTGGACCCTTCCTATTTGCGTTCCTCCCCGCCCCCAACAAGCCCCCACCACCGACGACGTGCGACGATGATGGCATGGGACCTTCCACCCTGCCAGGGCCAATGAACCCCACACCATGAGCTGCATGAGGCAAGAGGGAGCCCCCAAGGGAGGAACCCAGACCGTGATGGTGGCCACGGGAACTCGGCCGCAGCCGGCTATCTTCCCTCTCTTTTTTCACTGGTGGCGGTGCTGCCCTCTCTCTCTTCCTCACAGCCGGGAGCCCCCCTTCCCCACGCCACCCAATGCGTGACCACACAGGGCCTGTTGGGGGAGGGGGAAGGGGCGGGTACAGCAGGAGAGGAGGGCGGATGTCGCTGGTCTGCACTTGGGGGAACAGAGGGCCCCGTGGGCCATGCCATGGAACAGCCGTGCACCCCGAGGAGCCTGGAGGCAACCCCGGGGGATTTTGATCGGCAAGCGACGCTCAGACAGGCATAGCCCTAGGAGGAACCCGGGCCGCAAGTGCATTCGAAGTGTCAATGATCAATGTGTCCTGCGGTTCACATTAATTCTCCCAGCTAGCTGCATTCTTCATTGACGCAGCAGCCGAGTGATCCACCACTAAAAGTCATAAAAGGTTGATTTGGCGAGGGCACTCCCAAGAACGGGAGGCCCTCCTGGCACAGCACGTCCCCCAGAGGGATTACCTCAGGCCGGCCAGTCAGACAGCAATGGGACCAGACTCCAGAGAGGGGTTGGAAGGTTTCACAATACAGGGAGGCAGTGCCAACCATGGAGGGGGGGGCAAACGCTGACACCACCCCATGGGAGCCCAGGGGTTCCCGCCCCCACAGCGCGGGGCACAGGCCACACCCGTGGCATGTGTGCAACATCACGATGGCCGCTGGATAAAGCCCCCACCGGCATCAGCGGTGACACCAAAGTGTGGCGCGGCCCCGGCTGGCCGGGGAGACGGAGTCAGCAGGGGAGGCGAGGGAGGGGTGGGCCCCTCCTGAACGGACTCCACCGTGGGCCCACTGCACCTGACCCACAGGCGGACCGGCGACCCCCCAAGGGGTCCTTAAACCTCCACGCCAGAATGCGCTAGGTACCTGGATGGCAGGGGCGGATGAGGGGGGTGGGACCGGCGTCCAGCTCCCTACCCTCGAGACCCCCTAGCGGGAAGGCTGGGAAGAGAAAGTGGGCCGGGACGGGCCAGTGGTGTGGTTTGGCAGAGGCGATGATGGTGGCAGCGGCAGTGATGGGAACCTGGCCAGCCCTGACGGGAGCGGGCAGGATGGGGCCGAGACAGTGGGACACGGCAGGACGACGGCCCCAGTGGGGAGGGCACCGAGACCCCCACCCCACCATGATGCCGAGAAATACCTCCGTGCCCACCGATGCACACATGGGGGCCACGTCAGGTGACCACTCCCCGCTGCTCACCAGGCCGGCGAGCCATCCAGCCAGCCCCATGACACGCACACATGGTTTCATCCCCACATGCCTGTCTCTCTACCACCTCTCTCCCTCCGGAGTTCTCCGGCTCTGGGGGCAGGCGGGGCCATGCAACAAACAAAGGGCAAGACCCCGCCCATGCATGCGCCACAGGGGGAACACGGTCGGCCAAGGAGGAAGGACATGGCGGCGTCTCTGTGGCTTCGCTCTTCTCTGTTAATGATCCCTCCACAGGTTCACCTACCAAAACTTTGTTACGACTTTTACTTCCTCTAGATAGTCAAGTTCGACTGTCTTCTCAGTGTTCCGCCAGGGCAGTAGGCTGACCCAGCGGGGCTGATCCGAGGGCCTCACTAAACTATCCAATCAGGAGTAGTGACCTGCAGTGTGTACAAAGGGCAGGGACTTCACGCAAGCTTATGACCCGCATTTACTGGGAATTCCTCGTTCATGGGGAAAAATTGCAATCCCCGATCACCATCGCCAATGAGGTTCAACAGGTTACCCACATCTGCCACATAGGGTAGGCACACGCTGAGCCAGTCAGTGTAGCGCACGTGCAGCCCTGGACATTTAAGGGCATCACAGACCTGTTATTGCTCAATCTCAGGTGGCTGAACGCCACTTGTCCCTCTAAGAAGTTGGGGGATGCCGACCACTTGGGGGTCGCATAACTATTTGGCATGCCAGAATCTCGTTCGTTATCGGAATTAACCAGACAAATCACTCCACCAATTAAGGCCGTGCACCACAACTCATGGAATCGAGAAAGAGCTATCAATCTATCAATCCTGTCCCTGTCCAGGCCGGGTGAGTTTTCCCATGTTGAGTCAAATTAAGCCACAGGCTCCACTCCTGGTGGTGCCCTTCTGTCAATTCCTTTAAGTTTCAGCTTTGCAACCATACTCCCCTCGGAACTGAAAAACCCAAAGGCTGGTTTCTTGGAAGCTGCCCAGCGGGTCATGGGAATAACGCCGCCACATCGCCAGTCGGCATCGTTTATGGTCGGAACTACCACGGTATCTGATTGTCTTCGAACCTCCGACTTTCATTCTTGATTAATGAAAACATTCTTGGCAAATGCTTTTGCTCCAGTTCAAACTGTGCCAGTCCAGGCATTTCACCTCTAGCGGTGCAATATGAATGCCCCCGGCCATCCCTCTTAATCATGGCCTCAGTTCCGGAAACCAACAAAATAGAACCGCAGTCCCATTCCATTATTCCAAGCTGCAGTATCCAGGTGGCTTGGGCCTGCTTTGAACACTCTAATTTTTTCAAAGTAAACGCTTTGGGCCAGAGGACACTCAGCTAAGAGCATCCAGGGGGCACCGAGAGGCAAGAAGCAGGGATGGGCCGTGGCTCACCAGCCCACCTGCTCCCAAGATTCAACTACAAGCTTTTTAATTGCAACAACTTTAATATACGCTATTGGAGCTGGAATTACCATGGCTGCTGGCACCAGACTTGCCCTCCAATGGATCCTCATTAAAAGATTTAAAGTGGACTCATTCCAATTACAGGGCCTCGAAAGAGTCCTGTATTGTTATTTTTCGTCACTACCTCCCCGTGTCAGGAGTGGGTAATTTGCATGTCTGCTGCCTTCCTTGAATGTGGTAGCCGTTTCTCAGGCTCCCTCTCCAGAATCGAACCCTGATTCCCTGTCACCCGTGGTCACCATGGTAGGCACAGTGACTACCATAGAAAGTTGATAGGGCAGACGTTCGAATGGGTCATCGCTGCCACGGGGGGCGTGCGATTGGCCCGAGGTTATCCAGAGGCACCAAAGCTGGTGGTACCCGACCCCCCGGCCGGGGCCGGAGAGGGGCTGACTGGGTTGGTTTTAATCTGATAAATGCACGCATCTTCCCCGTGAAGGGGGTCAGTGCCCTTCGGCATGTAATAGCTCTAGAATTACCACAGTTTTCCAAGTAGGAGAGGAGCCAGCAACCAAAAGAACCATAACTGATTTAATGAGCCATTCACAGTTTCACTGTACTGGCCCTGCGTACTTAGACATGTATGGCTTAATCTTTGAGACAAGCATATGGTTCTGATAGGATCAACCAGGTAGGTAGAAAGCAGCCTCCGGGACTTGCGAGGATGAGCCCCGCGTCCCAGTTGTGAGATTGGGCGCGGCAGGGCAGGCGATGGGGCGTGGGGGAGGGAGGGAGCAGCTCGGGGTGGTGGGAGGGGGGTGGTGGGGCGGCGAACCGGACATCCCATCCATTCACACGACACAACACCCCCCGACGGGCTCACCACTCCCGACCCTTCGCGCCCATGTGCGAGAAGGCAGACCGCCCGACCCGTGTGCGGCAGCCGCGAGGGACCGGCGGCCACTCATGCACGGAGGGCACGGGGCGGCCCCGACGTTTGGGCAGCGAACGAGAGGCGGACCGCTGTGCCTGGGTTCTCACCGCCAGCGGCCTCCGAGCATGAAGGCGGCCCCGCGCGGCACCTGGAGCGGCTGACTGGCCTTCGGAGGGCCTGCGGCTCCCCCACCACCGCCACTGTCGCGGCCAGCCCCCGGAACCCTCTTCCCTGCACGCACTGCAGGCAGACCCCAAACCCTCCGGGTGCCCACCACGCCCACTCGGGGTGCCGCCGACCTGGTCCCAAAGGCGCACGCCCGGGGACACAGACAACGGGCCAACCAGTGGCCGGCGGCGGCGCCCCACAAGGCAGAGCCGGGTTTGGTCCCAGACGGGGCCACCACAGCCTAAGGCGGTGAGTCGCTCGGGGAGAGAGGATCCGCGGGCAGGGTGGGGGGCACAGACGGGCAAGGCCAGGGACCGCGACGGCAAGTGCACCCGGGAGCCCGCAGAGGGGCGGCTCGGGGAGAAACCTCAGGCACGGCCGGGCCACCAGGAAAACACGGCCACGGGATCCCACCGCCACAGACACGAGGGAGGTCCCGCAGCGACCCGCCTAGGATGCCGGACGGCCCTCGGCACCCACCGAGACCCGCCTCATGAGCCCCGGGTCCCGCCATCAGGACCCCGAGGCGACCTCAGCCACAAACCCAACGCCAGGGCCACGTTGCTCGTTTCTCACCCATCCTCCAACCCGGTCAAGCTCTGGGAGACCGGCATGCCCCCCACTTGGGACGCTTCCCAGGGCCAGGCGGCCCAAACCCCGTGCCACACAAACGCGGTCGTCTGCACCGGTCGCTGCTCTGCAGGGGAGCGGGCAGAGAGCCGGCTCACAGCGGAACATGTCACAAGCCGGAATGAAAGCCAGGCACAGCCACCGCTCGCGCAGCCTCCCAACCGCTAGGACGCCGGCCCGGCCCGGCGGGATCCTCCCCCGACTCGGAAGGGGGAGGCGTGGGCCACACAGTAGGCGACGAGCTGCCCTGGGTCCCCACCGCGGAGACTGGCGGAACCCTTGCTCTCCCCCCATCACCCCATCAAGGGGAAGCGGAGGAGGGTCCTCTGCAAGCCAGTCGCTACGCAGCGCTACCATAACGCAGGGAGAGGCGGCAGGCAGGGGGATCCGGTACCCCAAAGGCACACCTCTCGGATCGCTAGAGAAGGCTTTCTCACCGAGGGTGGGTCACACTCCCCACCCGCCAGTCGCCCCTCGTCGGGCCCGCAGAGGTGCTCAGGGACGCCTAGGGAAGGGAGAGGGCCTGCGGTACCAGGAAAAATCTGCGTGCGGCAACCTTGAGCCTTCCCGGTCTGGGTGGGGGGCCTGGCCGCTGCGCGTGCACGCAATCCCCCAAGGGCCCCCCCATCCACCAGCCTCCTTTCTCCTAGGCAAAGCACCTCCAAGTAAACCCACACACAACCTGTCGGAGGCAGAACGGTAGCCCCTCGGCGGGCGGCCGGCCGGCGCACGCGTCATCTGCCCCAGCCCACCGCAATAGCTCACACGGCCCGAGTGCACCCGCCAGAGGGGAGCACGGGAACTGCGCTTGTCAGATCAGGCGGCACCCTTCCCCGCGTGGGAGGGGCCCATCTCACTCAACCGCTTCGACCCCCACACCAACGAGCTCCCTCAGGACCCACTCGTGGACATCACGGCGGTGACCGGAGGAGGGGGCGCTGGGGGTGGGAACAACACACCACCACTGGACCTCGGGCACCTGAGGGATAAGCTGGGGGGTGAAGGGGAGGAGCCGGGCGTGGTAGGCTCACGCCTGTCATCCCCGCACTTTGGGAGGCGAGGGAAGGTGGATCCCTCGATCCAAGCCTTGGCAACATGGTGAAACCTCGTCTCTAAAAAAATACGAAAACTAACTGGTTTCATAAACTGGACTCAACATTAATAAATAGATAAGTAGGCCGGGCGCGGTGGCTCACGCCTGTAATCCCAGCACTTTGGAAGGCCGAGGCGGATGGATCACGATGGTCAGGAGATCGAGACCATCCTGGCTACCACAGTGAAACCCCGTCTCTACTCAAAATACCAAAAATTAGCCAGGCGCCATGGCGGGTGCCAGTAGTCCCAGCTACTTGGGAGGCTGAGACAGGAGAATGGCGTGAACCTGGGAGGCAGACCTTGCAGTGAGCTGATATCATGCCACTGCACTCCAGTCTGGGCAACAGAGTGAGACTCCGTCTAAAAAAAAAATAATAATAAATAGATTAAAATTGAAAATTTAAAAAAAACGTAGCTGGCGGGTCTCAAATGCTCACGCCTGTCATCCCAGCACTTTGGGAGGCTGAGGTGGGAGATCACCTGAGGGGGCCAGTTCGAGACCCGCCTGATCCACATGGAGAAATGCCGTCTCTACTAAGAATACAAAATCAGCTGGTTGTGGTGACACATGCCTGTAATCCCAGCTACTCAGGAGGCTGAGGCAGGAGAATCGCTTGAACACAGGAGGTGGAGGTTGCGGTGAGCCAAGATGGTGCCATTGCACTCCAGTGTGGGCAACAACAGTGAAACTCCGTATCAAAAAAAAAAAAAAAATTACGCACTGTATTCTGTTATTTTTACTTCCTACCCTGAGAAGAATATAATATAACTGTTGTCTGTCTGCCTGCCTGCCTGCCTGCCTGCCGGTGACAGGGCCTCACTCTGTCTTTCACCCAGACTGGAGTGCAGTGACACCATTATGGCTCACTCACTGCAGCCTCAACCTCCCCTGGGTTAGGCGATTCCTCAAGGGATCCTACGGCCTCAACCTCCCAAAGTGTTGGTGTTACAGGCGTGAGGCACCGGCACCCGACTTGAATTAATACATCTGGTCTCACTACGTCTTAACCACACACCCATGAAGAACTCAAGTCAAGAAAGAGTCGGTAAGAGACTCTCAGCATTCTCTCCCGAAAACAGTGAGGTGGATGGCGGCCGTGTGTCTTGAGCTCCTGTGGTTTTAGGTGGCCACACATAGAGGAGAGATTTCCAATGTTTCCAGTGATGCGCGAGCCACAGTCATTCGGGGCATCTGAGCATGAGATGGGGTTTCTGACAGCAACTTAAGGGCCAGGAAGGGCCAGAATCTGCCAAGGCCCGTGTCCCAGGGTGGGGCCGATGGAACCCAAGGTAGAGGGAGTCAGCGGTCCACACAGAGAGAGCTCCAGCCTTAGGCCCCACTGTGCAGACCGAATCCGAAGGAAGAGAGTCCTTCATCCTACATGCCACATCCCTCCACTGAACTTGGGAGCAAATCCATTTTCCAAACATGAGGTGACTCTCACTTTGCAATGGATCACAAGGGGCTGGGCTTTCCAGAGTCAGCAGGCTAAAGAAGTCATCCTGGCTCAGCCTCCCCCAACCCCTGGTAACTGGTGAGTTTATTTTTTATTTTTATTTTTATTATTATTATACTTTAAGTTTTAGGGTACATGTGCACAATGTGCAGGTTAGTTACATATGTATACATGTGCAATGCTGGTGTGCTGCACCTACTAACTAACTCGTCACCTAGCATTAGGTATATCTCCCAATGCTATCCCTCCCCCCTTCCCCCACCCCACAACAGTCCCCAGAGTGTGATGTTCCCCTTCCTGTGTCCATGTGTTCTCATTGCTCAATTCACACCTATGAGTGAGAATATGCGATGTTTGGTTTTTTATTCTTGCGATAGTTTACTGAGAATGATGATTTCCAATTTCATCCATGTCCCTACAAAGGACATGAACTCATCATTTTTATAGCTGCATAGTATTCCATGGTGTATATGTGCCACAGTTTCTTAATCGAGTCTATAATTGTTGGACATTTGGGTTGGTTCCAAGTCTTTGCTATTGTGAATAGTGCTGCAATAAACATACGTGTGCATAAGTCTTTATAGCAGCATGATTTATAGTCCTTTGGGTATATACCCAGTAGTGGGATGGCTGGGTCAAATCCTATTTCTAGTTCTAGATTCCTTTGCCATCCCCATCAAGCTACCAATGACTTTCTTCACAGAATTGGAAAAAGCTACTTTAAAGTTCATATGGAACCACAAAAGAGCCCGCATCGCCAAGTCAATCCTAAGCCAAAAGAACAAAGCTGGAGGCATCACACTATCTGACTTCAAACTATACTACAAGGCTACAGTAACCAAAACAGCATGGTACTGGTACCAAAACAGAGATGTAGATCAACGGAACAGAGCAGAGCCCTCAGAAATAATGCCGCATATCTACAACTATCTGATCTTTGACAAACCTGAGAAAAACAAGCAATAGGGAAAGGATTCCCTATTTAATAAATGATGCTGGGAAAACTGGCTAGCCATATGTAGAAAGCTGAAACTGGATCCCTTCCTTGCACCTTATACAAAAATCAATTCAAGAGGGATTAAAGACCTAAATGTTAGACCTAAAACCATAAAAACCCTAGAAGAAAACCTAGGCATTACCATTCAGGACATAGGCATGGGCAAGGACTTCATGTCTAAAACACCAAAAGCAATGGCAACAAAAGCCAAAATTGACAAATGGGATCTAATTAAACTAAAGAGCTTCTGCACAACAAAAGAAACTACCATCAGAGTGAACAGGCAACCTACAAAACTGGTGAGTTTAAATGAGCTGAGACTGGCAAGGCCGGAGACGCTATGGGGGGGAGGGGGGTGGGCGGGGTGGGGGGTGCCTGAGGCACTGCAGAAAGTGGGTCTGAGCCTCGAGGATGACGGTGCTGCAGGAAACTGTCCAGGCTGCTATATGGCAAGCACTAAACCACTATGCTTACAGAGATGGGGTTTTCCTCGCAGAACACCTTTATGCAGAAGTACACTCAGAAGAAGCCTTGTTTTTACTGGCGACCTGTTCTTACCGCCCAGGAAAGGCCTATAAAGAATATAGACTCTTGAAAGGACACAGTTGTCCTACACCACAATGCAAATACCTGCTTGCAAAATGTTGTGTTGATCTTAGCAAGCTTGCAGAAGGGGAACAAATCTTATCTGGTGGAGTGTTTAATAAGCAGAAAAGCCATGATGATATTGTTACTGAGTTTGATGATTCAGCTTGCTTTCCCCTTCCATTGTTGGAACATGTATATTGCAAGACAGATTGGCTTGCCAAAGGATCAGAATGTTACCAAAAGAGCCTTAGTTTAAATCCTTTCCTCTGGTATCCCTTCGAATCATTATGTGA
Source organism: Homo sapiens (assembly GCF_000001405.40). Lineage (NCBI taxonomy): Eukaryota > Metazoa > Chordata > Mammalia > Primates > Hominidae > Homo > Homo sapiens. The sequence goes on from NC_000020.11 coordinate 30,493,443, forward strand.
AATAGGTGAAAAGCCAGATCCTGACCAAACATTTAAATTCGCATCTTCACAGAACTTTAGAAACTGTCTGCCCAACTCTTGCAAAGCACAAGTACCTAATCATAGTTTATGTCACAGACAGCCTGAGACCGTTCTTACGGAAACACCACAGGACACAACTGAATTAAACAGATTGAATTTAGAATCTTCCAATTCAAAGTACTCCTTGAATACAGATTCCCCAGTGTCTTCTATTGATTCAGCTGTAATTTCACCTGATACTGTCCCACTGGGAACAGGAACTTCCATATTTTCTAAACAGGTTCAAAATAAACCAAAAACTGGTCGAAGTTTATTAGGAGGACCAGCAGCTTTTAGTCCATTCACCCCAAGTTTTGGGATTTTGCCATTAGAAACCCCAAGTCCTGGAGATGGATCCTATTTACAAAACTACACTAATACACCTTCTGAAATTGATGTGCCATCCACCGGAGCCCCTTCAAAAAAGTCTGTTGCCAGAATCAGCCAAACTGGAGCAAAGTCTGTCTTCTCACAGGGTGGAGATAGCCAAGAGGTAACTCCAATTCTTGCACAAACAGAAAGTTCTGGTCCATAAATAAGTACAACACCTCAGGTATTGAGCCCCACTATGACATCTCCCCCAAATGCGCTGCATCGAAGAAGTTCACGACTCTTGACTAGTGACAGTTCCACAACCAAGAATAGGAAGAAATTAAAAATGAAGTTTCCACCTAAAATCCCAAACAGAAAAACAAAAAGTAAAACTAATAAAGGAGGAATAACTCAACCTAACATAAATGATAGCCTGGAAATTACAAAATTGGACTCTTTCATCATTTCAGAAGGGAAAATATCCACAATCACACCTCAGATTCAGGCTTTTAGTCTACAAAAAGCAGCAGCAGAAGGCTTGATGAGCCTTTTTCTTGAATGGGGGAAAGGTTATTTAGCTTTGTGTTCATACCACTGCAAAGAAGCTATAAATGTTTTGAGCCATCTACCTTCTCACCACTACAATACTGGTTGGGTACTGTGCCAAATTGGAAGGGCCTATTTTGAACTTTCAGAGTACATGCAAGCTGAAAGAATATTCTCAGAGGTTAGAAGGATTGAGAATTATAGAGTCGAAGGCATAGAAATCTACTCTACAACACTTTGGCATCTTCAAAAAGATGTTGCTCTTTCAGTTCTGTCAAAAGACTTAACAGATGTGGATAAAAATTTCCCAGAGGCCTGGTGTGTTGCAGGGAACTGTTTCAGTCTGCAACAGGAACACGATATTGCAATTAAATTCTTCCAGAGAGCTATCCAAGTGGATCCAAATTATGCTTATGCCTATAACTCTATTAAGGCGAGAGTTTGTCTTAACTGAAGAATTGGACAAAGCATTAGCTAGTTTTTGAAATGCTATCAGAGTCAATCCTAGACATTATAATGCATGGTAAGTGGCAATGAAGTGTAAAGACAAAGTCTTGTTGATGGTGCTGATAGTCACTAATTTTTCTTGTTAGATAGCTCTTTATTGTCATGAATTTGGTTACTAATACTTAGGGATGGTACATACTGGTCAATAACCTCAAACTAACATGTTTTCTTATGAAATGTGTGTCTTTAACAAACTCTTAAGTTAACTAATGATAGTAGAATACCAGATCCTTATACTCAACAGTTTCAGTCTTCTACCAAACTTTTGCAGATACTGTAGTTGTGTTTTGTTTGTTTGTTTGCTTGTTTAGTTTTGTTACTTGATTTGTTACTTTTTCTTGAAACACACAAATGGTGATTGGGACAAAAAGTGCTTGGGAAATTGGAAAGGAATAGCATAATTCATTTATTGGATAATAGAAAAAAACACTGAAAAAATTCACTAGTTGCTGCTTTTTGACAGTGTTCCAGTTTATTGAGTTACTATTAAGAATTTAGTGTACCCTTTTATTTAGCAGTATCTCTCTTTTACTCTTTTGTACTTGTGTATAAGTAGACACATAGGAAATTACTACCCAGGTCATATTGTTATCAACTGAATAACATATGAAAAAGTTTGGTTCTACTTCTGCCTCAACACCATACTTACTGTTGACATTTATTGTATTTTTCTGAACTGACTTAAAAGTCTAAATATCAAGAGAAGGCCAGGCACAGTGGCTCACGCCTGTCACCCCAGCACTTTGGGAGGCCGAGGCAGGCGGGTCACAAGGTCAAGAGATTGAGACCATCCTGGCCAACATGGTGAAACCCGGTCTCTATTAAAAGTATAAAAATTAGCTGGGCATGGTGGCGGGCGCCTGTAGTCCCAGCTACTCAGGAGGCTGAGGCAGGAGAATTGCTTGAACCTGGGAAATGGAGGTTTCAGTGAGCCAAGATTACGCCATTGCACTCCAGCCTGGGTGACAGAGCGAGACGCCGTCTCAAGAAAAAAAATAAAATAAAATAAATAAATAAATAAATAAATATCAACAGAAAGTATAATTCTGAAGTCATAACTCTGTGGAAGCTTTTTTGTCAGATATGGTTATCTTTGGGGTTAATTATTATAGCAGTTGAGTTTTAACACTTGATTTGCTTCTAAATCTGAAGCATTACATTACGAAAACATTTTTTGATTTGTGAATATGTTGTTTAATGGATTATATCTCATTTTGCAGTAGTAGTTGCAGTGCCTGAAAGATTGCCAAAAAAATAGTGCTAGCTTTTGCTGACACATGTAACAATCAACTTACCAATACTGCCTTCTCTTCCGATAGCTATGTTCTCCGTAATATTTTAAGAACTCAGTTCTTCATAAGACTTGTGTTGTTTTTGATTTTTTCCCAAGTCTGATTGACCCTTGTGTTGTTCTTTTTTAAATGTGTATTGTCTGTTCAGCTATTCTGCAGGAGTCACATTCTTAAAAACCTTAACCATATCAAAAATTGTGTTTAAAGGAGGATTATTCAGATTGGCAAGCTTTTACTAGGAGGAGTTTAAATGCTGATGTATTTCAGTAACTCTAAATACTGAGCAACTTTATTCTAACTACAAAATAGATAGCCTTTCTTTATTTTCACTTTCACTATTATTAGCACCGTGTTTAACACCTTTTCTTCATCTATAACACAATTATAACGATATACAAAGCCACTCAAATAAAGCAGATATATTGTGCTTTAAAAAAAGAAAAAAAAGAAGTCATTATGTGGCACACAGTGAGGTGTGATCGAATGTAGAATCTCCAGTGAAAACCAATGAAACAGGGTCAAACCCCGTGTCTACTAAAAATAAAAAAATGAGCCAAGCTTGGTGGCGCTGAGGCAGGAGAATCGCTACAACCCAGGAGGTAGAGGTTGCAGTGAGCTGAGATCACGCCACTGCACTCCAGCCGGGGCGGGGGACAGGGCAAGACTCCATCTCGGAAACAAACAAACACACAAAGCCAATAAAGGTGTTAAGGTGTTTAACTCAACGTGTCAGGCTCAGGTCTCTTGACAGGATACATCCAGCACCCGGGGAAACGGGAAACGTCGAGGGGTGGGGTGGAATCTATTTTGTGGCCTCAAGGAAGGGTTTGAAAGATAGTCCCGCAAACGTGACGGCCTAAGGAAGCCCCTCCACCCAAGAAGCGATATTCATTTGTATCCTGTAGCCACCCACGAGGGAGAATCGGGCTCTCTACAGACCCCCAACCCCCACCCCACCCCACCGCACCCCCCGGCCTCGTGAAATAAGCTCTCGCTCCGTCAGGCTGTATTCACGCCCTGTGGTTTTGTAACCTCCAGCGTGTGTGCGTGGGTTGCGGGGTGGGGTGGGGGCGGCTGTGGACAGAGGAGGGGATAAAGCGGCGGTGTCCTGCGGATGCCCGGGACATGGGATGTGAGTGGGGTGGCCAGAGCCTAGGGAACTCATCGCCTGTCAAGACGTCTCCCCTCCTGGTCCCCTCTCTGACCTACGCTCCACATCTTCACAGTTCACTGGGGACCTTGTGGGTGGAAGTCACCATCCCTTTGGACTTTAGCCGAGGAAGGCTGGGCTCCCAAGAGTCTCCCCGGAGTTGGGGTCTTGGGCAGGCTCACAAGGATGCTGACGGTGATGGTAACAGTGATGTAAGTTGGAGGCCTCTGGCCAATGCAGAGGTATCCATTTGATCTCGGTGGGACAGGTCAGCTTTGTGGACTCACGTGCGTCCTTCCAGAGACTCATCCAGCGCTAGCAAGCATGGTCTGGAGGATCCCAGCTCCCAGCAGAGGCACTTTTTTTCACACAGAATCCTGGGCAGGAAAGTTCTCAGCAGGTTTAGACCTCCTAGCCAAAAAGCCAAAGCCACTTCTGGGATTTTTTTTCAAAGAGCCAGTGGTTCCACAATGGGCCATGGGTAGTTGTGGAAATGGAGAGAAGTGTTTGCAGATACATATTTGAGACAGAACAGACAGGGCTCGGTCACAGGTCATGAAGGACACGAGCAGATGCACATTGAGAAAACCCAGCATCCTAGGTGAACAGAGGTATGATTTTTTGAGACGGTCAAGGGAGATGCAACCCCAGATTTTAGGGTTGGATCTTTATTAATATGTAGTATCTATGAGGTATCCAAGTCCAGAAATCAACTCACCAGTTCCGTACAGCATTCGGTAGGGAGATCAAATCTGGGATGTCTAAAGTTAAGAATTCAGGCCATGGTAATGGATTAGATTAGATGTACTTGAACTTATTTTGCAAAGAAAGAGAGGGTGGGAGATAGCGAGAGCCAGAGAGCGAGCGAGAGAGAGAGAAAGAGAGAGACAGACAGAGAGACAGACAGAGACACAAAGATACACAAAGAGAGAAAGACAGAAAGAGAGACAGACAGACAGATAAAGACACAGAGAAAGAGAGAGATGGACAGAGACAGAGAGAAACAGAAAGAGAGACAGAGACAGAAGGAGAGAGAGACAGACAGGCAGAGAGACAGGCAGAGAAAGAGAGTAAGACAGATGGCAGACACACAGAGAGAGACAGAGACAGATGGAGAGACAGAAAGAAAGAGAGAGACAGACAGAGGGAAAGAGACAGAGGGAGAGAGAGAATCAGACAGAGAGAGAGACAGACAGAGACAGAGAGAGAGAGAAACAGACAAGGAGGGAGAGACAGACAGGCAGAGAAAGAAAGAGAGAGACAGACATACAGGCAGACAGACAGGCAGAGAAAGAGAGTAAGACAGATGGCAGACACACACACAGAGAGAGAGACAGAGACAGATGGAGAGACAGAGAGAAAGAAAGAGAGAGACAGACAGAGGGAAAGAGACAGAGAGAGAAAGAGACAGACAGAGGGAGAGAGAGAACCAGACGGAAAGAGAGAGAGAAAGACAGAGACAGAGAGAGAGAGACAGACAGACAGGCAGAGAAAGACGGTAAGACAGAAGACAGACAAAGAGAGAGAGAGAGACAGGCAGAGAGAGAGAGACAGAGAGACAGAGACAGAGAAACAGACAGGCAAAGAGAGAGAAAAAAACAGACAGGGAGAGAGAGACAGGCAGAGAAAGAGTATAAGACAGAAGACAGACACAGTGAGAGACACAGAGAGAGAGAGAGAGAGACAGCGAGACAGAGAAAGAAAGAGAGATACAGACAGACAGACAGACAACGAGACAGACAGAGAAAGACAGAGACAGACAGAAACAAAGAGAGACAGAGAGAGAGAAAGGGAGAGAGACAGGCAGGCAGAGAAAGAAAGACAGAAGACAGAGACAGGCAGAGAGAGAGAGACACAGAGACAGAGAGACATAGAGAAAGAAAGAGAGAGAAAGACAGAGATGGACAGAGAGAAACAGAAAGAGAGAGAGACAGAGACAGAGAGAAAGAGACAGACAGGGAGAGAGAGAGAGAGAGACAGACAGGCAGAGAGAGAGAGATATAGGCAGAGAAAGGGAGTAAGACAGAAGACACACAGAGAGAGAGACAAGCAGAGAGAGAGAGAAATAAGACAGGCAGAGAGAGAGAGACAGAGTGAGAGAGAAAACAGAGAAAGAGAGAGACAGAGACAGAAAGAGAGACAGAGAGAGGAGGAGGAAGGGCATGCTCAGGAAATAATTACACATATTTTATAATGCTTTTGATCCGGTAAACAGTGGCCGGGGTGTGCTTTGAAAACAACAACAACAACAGCAACAAGAGCAGCAGCAGCATTCGATTACGGATTTCTAGAACATAAGATGTTCTGAAGTCTAGTAAACATCAGCCGGCTCTCACTACACGTTGAGAGATTCACAAAAGCACTAATTAACAGGAGAAAACAGCAGCTAACATGTCTTGGGGAAAATATACGTCTTCCTGAAAACTGGGGATTTCTACTTCACCTGAAAAGAAATACATACGAAAAAGGAAAAACATGAACAAAACAAAACAAGCCAACAAACACGGGCCAATGCACCGTCCCTGGAAATCTTAAGTGAGCAAAGTATTAGTTTTCAGAAAGCGTTTCTATTTTGGGAAAATGCTAAGAAGGCCCAGATTAGAGCTGTGATGCCCTTCCCATTGTGAAACTATGTTGGCCGGAGGGCGGAGAAACTAAAACATCATGATAAAAGGTGATTGAGACCCAGCCAGGGTGAAGCTTTCCTAGGGAGGGAGGCCTGAGGAGGGAAGCGGGGGAAAAAAACCACAACTGCAGACCCGCCCGCTTGCCCACGCGGGTCAAGGGCTATGCCATCGGCCCAAGCTGCCTCTGGGGAAGTGGGACCGTGCCACCCCCATCTTCAAAAACGGTGGCCACTGAGTGAGGCCTGAGGCCCACCGATGCAAATGTCAGCCTGGCAAGAATGAGATCGGCGGAAGAGGTGGGGGAAGGGGAGAGAAGACGGAGGCTCACCTGGGTGGCTCCGGAAGGTTTCCAAGCAGGGTGTCGGGAGGCGGGGGGTGGGGTTTGGGGGGAACCCACCTAACTGACTCACTAAATGAAGCTAAAGGGACGTGGGTAGTGGGGGGAGCCGAGGGGCGACTTGAAAATTAAACTGACCCCTCCTAAATCTCAAGTAGAAGAGTCTATGCGCATGAAAGAAACCAACACACAAAGAAAACTAAAGCGCTGATCAAAGAACAATAGGGCCCCCGCCAGGGCAGAGGTTCCCTAGGCAACTAGGGAGAGAGGGAGGGACCTCCAGAAGGGAGAGAGAGAAACCCGTTGCCCCAGGTTCGGTGAAGTCAGGGAGACCTCCCTCCGTGTGACCTCAACTTTCAATAACAGTGGCCGCTAGGTGATGCCCGAAGACAACCGATGCCTGCAAATGTCAGTCAGCACGGAAAAGAATGTATTTATTTATTTATTTATTTAGAGATAGAGTCTCACTCACTCTACAGCCTGGGCTGTAGTGCAGTGGTGCAATCTCAGCTCACTGCAGCCTCCGCCTCCCAGGTTCAAGCGATTCTCCAGCCTCAGCCTCCCAAGTAGCTGGCATTACAGGCACCTGCCTCACCGCTCCTGACTCAGTTTTGTATTTTTAGTAGAGACGGGGCAAGGCCGGTCTCGAACTCCCAACCTCAGGTGATCCACCCGCCTCGGCGTCCCAAAGTGCTGGGATGACAGATGTGAGCCACCGTGCCCGGCCTTAACCGTTTATTTTTAAGTCGAGGAACTTATCAGGGAAATATGAGAAGTACGGACGCCACACGTGACAGAGAGAAAAGTCTGAAAATGCCCCTTGCATCCAAGTGGGGACCCGGACTCGACCTCCCGAAATCATACACCGAGTGGGGAAGCCCAGTAGGGCCCATCTGTCTAGATTCTTCTCGGCCTCTCTAAGCACCTAAGCACGCACTTCTCACTTTCATGGAAGGGGCAGGGCCTCCCCGTCACGAGGTGCCTGACAGACTGACACAGAAAGAGACAGACATAGAAAGACAGAGATGGACAGAGAGAGATAGAAAGAAACAGACAGAAAGAGAGAGAGACGGAGAGTGAGTGAGAGAGAGAGAGAGACATGGAGGGAGAGAGACAGACAGACAGACAGGCAGAGAAAGAGAGTAAGACAGAAGACACAGTGAGAGAGACAGGCAGAGAGAGAGAGAGAGACAGAGACAAAGACAAGGAAAGAGAGAGAAAGACAGAGACAGACAGAGAGAGACAGAAACAGACAGAAAGAGAGAGAGAGAGAAACAGAAAGGGAGGGAGAGAGACAGACAGAGACAGAGAGACTGACAGACAGATAGGCAGAGAAAGAGAGTAAGACAGAAGACAGACACAGTGAGAGAGACAGGCAGAGAGAGACAGAGAGAGAGACAGACAGAGAAAGAGACAGAGAGAGAAAGACGGAGATGGACAGAGAGAAACAGACAGAAACAGTAAGAGAGAGAGACAGAGACAGAGAGAAGCAGACAGACAGGGAGGGAGGGAGACAGACAGAGAGAGGGAGACAGACAGACAAGCAGAGAAAGAGAGTAAAACAGAAGATAGGCACAGACAGAGAGACAGGCACAGAGAGAGAGACAGACAGACAGACAGAGAAAAAGAAAGAGAGAGACAGGCCAGGCACGATGGCTCATGCCTGTCATCCCAGCACTTTGGGAGGCCGAGGCAGGCGAATCACGAGGTCAGGAGATCAAGACCATCCTGGCTAACATGGTGAAACCCCGTCTATACTAAAAATACAAAAAAATATAGCCAGGCGTGGTGGCGGGTGCCGAGTAGTTCCAGCTACTCGGGAGGCTGAGGCAGGAGAATGGCGTGAATCTGGGAGGTGGAGGTTGCAATGAGCCGAGATCGTGCCACAAAAAAAGAAAGAGACAGACAGACAGAGAAAGACAGAGACAGACAGAGAGAGACAGAAAGAAACAAACAGAAATAGAGACAGAGAGAAACAGACAGAAATTGAGAGAGACAGAGAGAGAGAGAAACAGAAAGGCAGGGAGGGAGAGAGAGAGACAGATAGACAGACAGGCAAAGAAAGAGAGTAAGACAGAAGAGAGACTCAGTGAGAGAGACAGGCAGAGAGAGAGAGAGACAGAGACAGAGAGAAAGACAAAGAAAGAAAGAGACAGACAGAGACAAAGAGAAAGAGAGACAGAGAGAGAAACAGAAAGGCAGGGGGACAGACAGAGAGAGAGAGAGACTGACAGATAGGCAGAGAAAGAGAGTAAGACAGAAGACAGACACAGTGACAGAGACAGAGAGAGAGAGAGACAGAGAGAAAGAAAGGGAGTGACAGGCAGAGAAAGTGACAAAGAGAGAAAGACATATATGGACAGAGAGAGACAGAAACAGAAAGAGAGAGACAGAGACAGAGAGAAACAGACAGGGAGGGAGGGAGACAGACAGAGAAACAGAGACAGGCAGACAGGCAGAGAAAGAAAGTAAGACAGAAGACAGGCACAGACAGGGAGACAGGCACAGAGAGAGAGAGACAGAGAGACAGAGAAAAAGAAAGAGAGACAGACAGACAGAGACAGACACAGAGAGAAAGAAACAGAAAGAGAGAGAGAGAAACAGACAGGAAGAGAGAGAGAGAGACAGACAGGCAGAGAAGGAGAATAAGACAGAAGACAGACACAGTGAGACAGGCAGAGAGAGAGACAGAGACAGAGAGAAAGAAAGAGACAGACAGACAGAGAAAGAGACAAAGACAGAGACAGAGAGAGAAAGAGAGAAACAGACAGAAACAGAGAGAGAAACAGAAAGGGAGGGAGAGAGAGAGACAAACAGACAGAAAGGGAGAGAGACAGGCAGAGAAGGAGAATAAGACAGAAGACAGACACAGTGAGATAGGCAGAGAGAGAGACAGAGACAGACAGACAGAGAAAGAGACAGACAAAGACAGAGACAGACAGAGAGAGAAAGAAACAGACAGAAAGAGAGAGAGAGAGAAACAGAAAGGGAGGGAGAGAGACAGACAGACAGATGGACAAGCAGAGAAGGAGAGTAAGACAGAAGACAGACACAGTGAGAGAGACAGGCAGAGAGAGAGAGAGAGACAGAGGCAGAGAGAGAGAGAGAGACAGAGACAGAGAGAAAGAAAGAGAGAGACAGACAGAGAAAGACAGAGATGGGCAGAGAGAGACAGAAACAGAAAGAGAGAGAGACAGAGAGAGAGAGAAACAGAAAGGCAGGGAGAGAGAGAGACAGACAGACGGACAGGCAGAGAAGGAGAGTAAGACAGAAGACAGACACAGTGAGAGAGACAGGCAGAGAGAGAGACAGAGAGAAAGAGATGGACAGAGAGAGACAGTGAGAAACAGACAGAAAGAGAGACAGAAATAGAGAGAGGGAGTGAGAGAAAGAGAGACAAACAAAGGGAGGAAGAGACAGAGAGAGAGAGACAGACAGACAGAGAGACACAGAAAAAGAAAGAGGCAGACAGACAGAGAAAGACACAGACAGAGAAAAACAGAGATGGACAGAGAGAGACAGAGAGAAACAGACAGAGAGAGACAGACAGATGGGCAGAGAAAGAGAGTAAGTCAGAAGACAGACACAGTGAGACAGGCAGAGAGAGAGAAAGAGAGAGAGAGAAGTCAGACACAGTGAGACAGGCAGAGTGAGAGAGAGACAGACAGAGAAAGAGACAGACAGAGAGAGACAGACAGAGAGAGAGAGAAACAGGAAACAGAAAGAGAAACAGAGAGAAACAGAAAGGGAGGGAGAGAGAGAAACAGACAGACAGACGGACAGGCAGAGAAGGAGAGTAAGACAGAAGACAGACACAGTGAGAGAGACAGGCAGAGAGACAGAGAGACAGAAACAGAGAGAAAGAGACAGACAGAGAAAGACAGAGATGGACAGAGAGAGACACTGAGAAACAGAGAGAGAGAGACAGAGAAACAGACAGAGAGAGAGTGAGAGAGAGAGAAACAAAGGGAGGGAGAGACAGAGAGAGACAGATAGGCAGAGAAAGACAGTAAGACAGAAGATAGGCAGAGAGAGCGAGAGACAGAGAGAGATAGAGACAGACAGAGAGACACAGAAAAAGAAAGAGAGAGGCAGACAGACAGAGAAAGAGATAGACAGAGAAAAACACAGACAGAGAGACAGAGAGAAACAGACAGGGAGGGAGAGAGAGAGACAGACAGACGGGCAGAGAAAGTAAGACAGAAGACAGACACAGTGAGACAGGCAGAGAGAGAGAGAGACAGAGAGACAGAGACAGAGGGAAAGAAAGAGACAGAGAAAGAGACAGAGAGAGAAAGACAGAGACGAACACAGAGAGACAGAGAGAAACAGATAGAAAGAGAGAAGGTCCTAGCCCAGTAGCGATACAGTGCTTTTTCTTTTATTTTCTCTTTCTTTTCTTTTCTTTTTTTCTTTCTTTCATTTATTTATTTATTTATTTATTTGGAGACTGAGTCTCACTCTGTCGCCCAGGCTGTAGTGCAGTGGCGCAACCTTGGGTCACTGCAACCTCCACCTGCCAGGTTCAAGCGATTCTTCTGCCACAGCCTCCCGTGTAGCTGGGATTACAGGTGCCTGCCCCACCGTGCCTGACTCAGTTTCGTATTTTCAGTAGAGACGGGGTTTCACAATGTTGGCGAGGCTGGTCTCCAACTCCTGACCTCGGGATGACAGACGTGAGCCACTGCGTTCAGTGTACAGTGCCATTTCTTAGAAATCACTCTTTGGAACACACGTAGAGATTTTATTTATTTATTTATTTATTTATTTATTTTTGTGCGGGAAGGTGGGGGGACGGAGTTTCGCTCTTGCTGCCCAGGCTAGAGTGCAATGGCATAGGGGACTCAAGGAGTCAACCTATGGCAGGGAGGACACGTCATTCTGAACGTAAGGGCCACAACGAAAGGTGGCAGGGCCCGTGCTTTTAAAGGCACGGTGGTTCAGGCCTGTCGTCCCAGCACTTTGGGAGGCCCAGGAGGGTGGGTCACTTGAGGTCAAGGGTTTGATACCAGCGTGGCCAACATGGAGAAACCCCGTCTCTACTAAAAATAGAAATATTAGCCGGCTGTGGTGGTGCGCGCCGGTAATCCCAGCTACTGAAGAAGAATCACTGGAACCCAGGAAGCAGTGGTTTCAGTGAGCCGAGAGAGCGCCACTGCACCGCAGCCTGGGTGACAGAGCGAGAGAGACTCAGTCCAAAAAAAAGAAAAGAATAAAAAAAAAAAAAAAAAAAAACAGACCCAAATACTGCATTGTCGCTGAACTTTCCCCCAAAAAGGCCAGAAACCCCCTGACTCAGGTCAAGGAGGTGGTGTTTCATTTTACTTCTCTCTCTCTCTCTCCCTTCCTCCCCCTGCTCCCCCCTAACTTTTATTTCTTGTTCAAGCATACATGTGCAAGACTGTTACATAAGTAAACTTCTGACAGGGGGGTTCAGTGTGCAGATGATTTCATCACCCGGATACTCAGCGCTGTGTCCAACGGTTTTCCTGTTTTGTTTTTTCCTGAAGCTGTCTCTCCTTCCACTCCTCCCTCAAGTAGGCTCCCGCGTCTCTTGTCCCCCTAGTTCTGCCCATGCAAGAACTCTCATCTATAAGTTCCCACTTATAGATGAGAACACACGGTATTTAGCTGATCATTGCTTTCATCTTCGGTGGTGGCGGTGAAAGAGGCATGACACTAAATCGGCCCTTAGGACTCTCCCCTCCGTCCCCACCCCGCACCCCCTTCCCACACACACCCTCATTCCTGCACCCCCTCCTCAAACGCAAGAAAGGGAGAAAGACAGAAATTAAAGTAACAGGTGAGCCTCCAAGGCGGTGGAGGCGGGGGATCTCAAAGGGTGAGCAAGCGATGGGGGTCGGGGAATGTTTTGGCTGAGCTATCGAAAATAGGGGACCCACTTTCCAGCCCCATCACACCCGTTAATCCTCAGCTGCAGCCAGCCTTTGGGTGGGGTTGCGCCTGTCAAAGCTTCTGAATGGAGAGAAGCCCAAGGCTATGGAATGCATCAGCTCCAACTCCAGGAAGGGAATAGGGCTTTGTGCATATGAATGGGGCTTTACAAGGCGGTGCCTCGGCTTCCAAAGCGATGCGCCTCGCCTCGCCTCGCCCAGAGCGAGACTCGGTCTGAAAATAAATAAACAAATATAAATAAGAAAATAATTCATCAATAAATAAGAAAGAAAGAATCAGTACAGCGGTCGTGGTCATGAATCATTCTCCGGAGTCCAGGCGTAGTGGCTCACGCCCGTCACGCCAGCACTTTGAGACGCCGGGTCAGGAGGGTTGCAAAAAATGATGAGACCCTGTCTGTGGAAAAACATTTAAAAATGAAGGCCGGGCGCGGTGGCTCACGCCTGCCATCCCAGCACTTCGGGAGGCCGGGGAAGGCGAATCATCTGAGGTCGGGAGCTAGAGACCAGCCTGACCAACATGGAGAAGCCCCGTCTCCACTAAAAATACAAAATCAGCCAGACGTGGTGGCGCATGCCTGCAATCCCAGCTACTCGGGAGGCTGATGCAGGAGAATCGCTTGAACCGGGAGGCTGAGGTTGCGGTGAGCCAAGATCGCGCCACTGCACTGCAGTCTAGGCAACGAGAGAGAAACTCTGTCTCAGGAAAAAAAAAAAAATTAAAAATGGTCTGGGCACACCGGCGCATGCCTGTTGTTCCAGGTACTGTACTCTGGAGGCTGAGGTGGAAGGATCACTGGAGTCCAGGAGCATCCACGCTGCAGTGAATGAGTTACGATGGCACCACTGCCAGGGTGACAGAGTTAGATGCTGTGTCTAAATCAGTCAATCAGATCACTGGAAGGCACTTTCTGTGTCTTACTTTCAAAGGGTGTCCCTTTAGGCCAAGCAAGCACGGTGCCTCATGCCAGTCATCCCAGCACTTTGGCAGGCCAAGGCAGGATGAAAGAAGGAAAGGAGGAAGGGAGGAAAGAAGAAAGGCAGGATGGCAGTAAGGCAGGAAAGAAGAAAGAAGGAAAGAAAGAAAGAAAGAAAGAAAGAAAGAAAGAAAGAAAGAGAGAAAGAAAGAAAGAAAGAAAGAGAGAAAAAAAGAAAGAAAGAAAGAAATAAAGAGAGAAAAAGAAAGAAGAGAGAAAGAAAGAAGAAAGAAACAAAAGGAAGGAAGAAAGAAAGAAAGAAAGAAAGAAAGAAAGAAAGAAAGAAAGAAAAGAGAAGAAAAAAGAAGAAAAGAGAAGGGAAGACAAAAAAAGAAAATGGGGCGAGGGCATATCTCCTTGACTGGTGACGGCCCAGGATACAGTGGATCACAGCTGACTGAAGCCTCGACCTGTGGGGCCACAAGTGATCTTCTCCTTATCTCAACCTCCCGAGTAGCTGTGACTACAGATGGCCATCACCACGCGCAACTCATCTTATAATGATATTAAGATTCTGTTGGGACAGGGTCTCGCTCTGTCATCCAGGCTGGATTGCCGTGGCATGATCTCAGCTCATTGCAACCTCGGCCTCCCTGGTTGGAGCAACTCACCCACCCCAGTCTCCTGAGCAGTTGTGATTACAAGCCCATGCCACCAGGCCTGGCTAATTGTTCTATTTTTCAGAGAGATGGGGTTTCGCCATGTTGGCCAGCCTGGTCTTGAACTCCTGGCCTCAAGTGATCCACCCGCCTCGGCCTCCCAAAGCGCTGGAATGACAGGCATGAGCTACAGTGCCAGGCCCAGATAATCTTTTTAATAAATTGTAGAGAAATGGTTTCATCAGCCGACGCGTGGAGGGTGGGGTGGGTTTTACTCAGCCTGCATACTGTGAAAAGAGTGAGTGTGGTTTGTGAACTAGGTGTGGAAATTGTGTGTGTGTGTGTGTGTGTGTGTGTGTGTGTAGGAGAGAGAGAGACCAATCCCACCATGAGAACCCAGAAATTGTGTTTGATTTGGGTCCCTGTCTAGTCACCTGTCTGTCTGTAGATGACTGAGGATTCCACAAATGAAGGTCAGCAGTATCTATTGAGCTGTTTCTCCCTCTCATGCGTCTCATGTGTGTGGTGGAGAAAGGGAAGAAAAGAGGTTCTGATGGGAAGTTGTCTTCACGCCTGAGTAAGCTGAAGGCAGCCTGATGGGAAGGAGGGCATCCTATGTGACATTTCCATACCTGCGCACCCTTTACAATGCTGGGGCTGCCAGTTCACCCTGTACGTCAACCCACCCCCAAGAACAGCACGGTCTGGGGTGGGCCAGTCTCATCCCATCCGGCCCACCCGGGGCATCTGGTGGAAGTCTTCGCCGGAGGATTCGAAAGCAGCGTCAAAGCGGTTCCCCTGCCGTTGCCTGGCAAAGGCCAGCTGTGGGAGGGTAGCGGGACGTGATGGGGGCATCCGCCTCAGAGCTCCCTGGAAGGTGGCAGGTAGCCGGTGGGGGATGCTGAGGCAGAGACGTCTGGCAGGATATAGATCTGGAAGCCGCGTCAGTCCTCTCCCATACCTCTCCTATGGAAAATGTCATGGCCGTGGTGGGAGCCTTGGCTGCGGGAGAAGCGGGGACAAGGGGGAGAGGGAAGGAGGCCCTCAGGAGGATTTAGCACTGAAAACCCACTCAGCCAAACTCCCTCCGTCTTTTTGGGTCCAAGGTACACCCTGGGAGACGGCAAGAGAAAAGTTCACTCCGTGCTTTTTGTCTCTTTAGTTTTTTCATCTTTTCCATTTTACAAGAGATGCTCATTTCAACAACCAGACAGTGGATGTGACGGGAGAAGTGTCAAGGCCAGGAGTTTGAGACCAGTGTGAGCAACTGAGCAACACAAGTAAGAGAGCCCAGCTGAAGGAAATGAAAAAGGAGGAGGAGGAGGACATGGGAGGCTGGGGGTGGGGGTAGGGGGGAGGAGAAGGAAAGAAAGAAAAGAAAAGAAAAGAAAAGAAAAGAAAAGAAAAGAAAAGAAAAGAAAAGAAAAGAAAAAGAAAAACAACCACCAAGAAAGTTAAAATTCTCCAATGGTCAGAAGTTCAAGACCAGCCTGACCAAGATGGAGAAACCCCATCTGTACTAAAAATAGAAAAATTAGTCAGGCATGATGGCACATTGCTGTCATTCCAGCTACTCGGGAAGGCTGAGGCTGGAGAATCACTTGAACCTGGGAGACAGAGGTTGCAGTGAGCTGAGATCGCGCCATTGTACTCCACCCTGGGCGTCAAGAGTGAAACTCTGTCGAAAGAAAGAAAGAAAGAGAGAAAGAAAGAAAGAAAGAAAGAAAGAAAGAAAGAAAGAAAGAAAGAAAGAAAGGAAAGAAGGAAGGAAGGAAGGAAGGAAGGAAGGAAGGAAGGAAGGAAGGAAGGAAGGAAAGGCAGATTGGTGAGATGCGTTTCAAAATTTTGTTTCCAGTCCCCATACTAAAAACGGAAAGAACTGACACATGACAAATATGACCAGAGCGTACTGTGCCCACAAGTGTCATCACAGCACTCTGGGAGGCCGATGTGGGATGATTACTGGAGCCTTAAAGTTTGACATCACCTCGACATGTGAGATGACACCTGCAATAATAATCATAGAAGTTTAAAAAGAGATTATGTGTGCCCAGAGCATGGAAAACAAAGCGAGAGCACATCCGTACTAAAAACAAGATGATTGATATACAGGCAGGCAGGCAGGCAAATATAGAATAAGCCAGGTGCAGTGTCTCACGCCTGTAATAGCAGTAGTGTGGGCGGCCGAGGCAGGCAGGTGAATTGCTTGAGAACAAGAGATCGAGACCAGCCTGGGCAACATGATAGAACCCCGAGCCCCATCTCACTCACATATATACATACATACATACTTACATACCTACCTACCTACGGAAAACATGAGAAACAACATAAAAGTCAACCAGTGTTGTGGTGCGTGCCTGTAGTCCCAAGTAATGGGGATGGGAGAGATCAGAGGCAGGACGACTGCTTGGTCGGTCCAAAGCGTTGAGGCTGGGGTGATCCTGGGCGACAGAGACAGAGGAAGACCCTGCCAGTAAGGAAGGAAAGAAGGAAGGAAGGAAGGAAGGAAGGAAGGAAGGAAGGAAGGAAGGAAATAAGCAAGCAAGCAAGCAAACAATGAACATGACAATGACATAGAATAACCCATGACAATAAACAAGGAAATAAGAGGGTATCAATAAAGCTGAAAGGTAATTAAGATCACAATCAATTGTTTTCTCCCCATCCCACCCCACCCCATCCCACCTCACCCCACCTCACTTAAGCTGGAGTGGAGGTGCGCGATCACAGCCCACGTTAGCCTCTGCCTCCCGGGCTTAAGAGATCCCTGTAGTCCCAGCTACTTGGGAGGCTGTCACCAGAGCCCAGAGTGAGAAGACTAGGCAGGCCCAAAAAGGAAAGAAAATAAGCAAAAATTAAAAATAATAAATGAAAGAAGGAAGGAAGGATATACATACACATGTATATGTAAATGAAATGGGTTTTCATTTAATACATATTCATACATTAAAATTAACATTTATAATATAAACATGTATTTATTATGGAAATATCCATATAGTTTTATCACTACATATTTATGTGTTTGTATGTATGTATGTGTGTATGTGTGTGTGTGTGTGTGTATATATATATATATATGTATATTTATACACAGCAGTGTGCAGAAAATAAGATTGAAGAAAAAAAGGAATTGTCCAGGCTCAGTGGCTCACGCCTGTACTCCCAGCACTCTTTGGGAGGCCGAGGTGGGCGGAAGGTCAGGCGTTCGAGACCAGCCTGGCCAATATGGTGAAATTCCGTCTTTACTCAAAATACAAAAATTGCTGTTCGCTTCAACCCTGGAGGCAGAGGCAACGGTGGCAGTGAGCCAAGAAGGCACCATTGCACTCCAGCTCCAGCTCCAGCCTGGGCATCAGAGCGAGACTCCATCTCCAGAAAAAGGAAAGAAAGAAAGGAAAAAAAAAAAAAAAAAAACACAAGACAAAACCAAAAAAACAAAAGGAGGAAGTATTACTGACTGATGGCAACAGTGACTCCCTCTTAAAAGTACCGCGGAAGCAAACAAAGTGGGGCTGAAAAAAATGTAGGAGAGGGAGTTCCACGTGGTCCCAGCTCCACCAAAGGCTGAGGCTGGTGAGGGCCACCCGCGGGTGAACGGGGATAGGTGCCCTCACATGGGTGCACCGCACCGTCCAGTGGGACCGCCACTGGTCGCCTGCTGGCCAATCTGGGACACAGGGAGCCGCCGGCTAAGTCCGGAGCTCGCGGGCAGCAGCTGGTTGACCCTGGAGGTTCCGACCGAGATGCGGACGCTCCGGATCCAGCTCATCCCAACGGGCACCCCTGCACACCGCTCGGTCCAGAGGGCCTGCTGGTCGACCTGGGACATGGCGAGCCGCCAGCTGTCTCACACCCTCAGGCGTCAGCTGGTCGACCCCAGAGGCCTGACCCAGGAGCAGCCACAAGTGGAGGTTGGCCATGTGTGGCCAAACTCCAACCCGGAAGCAGGTCGTCTACCAATGGTTTAGCACCAGGTTCCCCACGAACGTGTGTTGCATGACGGGCAAGGAGGCCGCCTTTTCAGCCACACCCTTCCCAGGAAGAAGGGCACTCTGCACCGGACCCAGTCCTGGCACATGGTGGGGCACACCCCACCCAGGGCGAGGCAGCCCACCAGCGGGGGCGGGGAACCGGCTAGCCAAGGCCAACCAAGGCTCCAGGGCGCTGATGTATCCTTCCTCTTGGGCGGGATTCTGACTTAGAGGCGTTCAGTCACAATCCAACAGACTGTAGCTTCACCCCATTGGCTCCTCAACCAAGCACATGTCTGAACCTGTGATTCCTCTCATGCTGAGCAGGATTACCATGGCAACAACACACATCACGGAGGGTAAAACTAACCTGTCTCACGAAGGTCTAAATCCAGCTCACATGCCCCATTAGTGGGTGAACAATCCAATGCTTGGTGAATTCTACTTCACAATGATAGGAAGAACCAACATTAAAGGATCAAAAAGCAACATCCCTATGAACGCTTGGCCGCAACGAGCCAGTTATCCCTTGTGGTAACTTCCTAACAGCTCCTGCTTAAAAACGTCAGAATGATCGTCAAACCCGGCTTTCAGTCTGTATTCGCACTGAAAATCACAATCAAGCGAGCTTTTCTCCTTCTGCTCCACAAGAGGTTTCTGTCCTCCCTGAGCTCGCCTTAGGACATCTGTATTACTGTTCAACAGGTGTACTGCCCCAAACTCCCCACCTGGCACTGTCCTCAGAATGGGTCAACACCCGGCCAGCATGCAGCTGGGCACTTAGCGCCAGAAGGGAGAGCCCCTCGGGGCTCACCCCCTGCCTCACCAGATCAGTGAAAAAATGATCAGAGTAGTAGTATTCCATGGGCAGCCCACAGGACCCCACCCCACCCCCTCACGGGGATAGGGGGCACCGGGGACCTCCCACTTATTCTACACCTCTCATGTCTCTTCACCATGCCAGACTACAGTCAAGCTCAACAGGTTCTTCTTTCCCCAATGATTCCACCAACCCCATTCCCTTGGCTGTGGTTTCACTGGATAGTAAGTAGGTAGGGACAGTGGGAATCTCATTCATCCATTCATGCACGTCACTAGTTAGATGACGAGGCATTTGGCTACCTTAAGAGAGCCATAGTTACTTCCGCCATTTACCCATACTTCATTGAATTTCTTCATTTTGACATTCAGAGCACTGGGTAGAAATCACTTTGCAACACCCCCCGAGGGCCTTCGCGATGCTTTGTTTAAACAGTCGGATTCCCCTGGTGCACACCAGTTCTATACGTCGACTGCTAAGCACCAGCCGAGGCGCTGCACGGAACCGCCGCCCTGGTGGCAGGGACCAGCACGTGGCCCGCCACCTCCACGGAGTGGGGAACAGGAGACAGATGGGGCCGGGGGGAGGTGGGGGAATGAACCACCCCGCCCGCCACCCACCGACACCCAATCACTCCCTGCCCGCGCTGAAATGCATGACAGCGCGGAGCAAGACAGGACACGCCAGCACCCACCGGGCTCCCCATGGGCGGCCACAACTGGGGCAATCCATGGGAAGAGCCTGGCTCGCGTCCAGAGTCACCGCCACCACCAGCTCCCCCTCACGGGAGATCATGCCCTGCCACCGGGGCCGTATAGCCACCGCCACCCCTCCTCCCCCACACGCCACCACCAGAGAGGGGGAGGACAGGGAGAGAGGGGGCGGGGGAGGGAGCGAGCAGCACGCGGGTTGGGGCAGAGGAGGGCCACGACAGGCGTCCCTGGGGCATGGGGGCGCTGCAGGGCCTCTTCCAGCGGTGGCATGCACCCAGCCCAACCGACCCAGCCCTTACAGCCAATACTTATCCCGAAGTTACGGATCCGGCTTGCTGACTTCCCTTACCTACATTGTTCCAACATGCCAGAGTCTGCTCATCTTGGAGATCTGCTGCAGACATGGGTATGGCCCTGCGTAAGACTTACACTGTCTCCCCTGGATTTTCAAGGGCCAGCCAGAGCTCACCAGATGCCACCAGAACCACGATGCTTTCCAAGGTACAGTCCCCTCTCTCGGGTCGAACCCATTCCGGGGCATCCTGCCCTTCACAAAGAAAAGAGAACCCTCCCCAGCGCTCCCACATGCTTCTCCAGGGTCAGTCACATTACCGCACTGGACGCCTCATGGTGCCCATCTCCGCCACTCTGGATTCAGGGATCTGAACCCGACTCCCTTTCAATCGGCTGAGGGCAACGGAGGACATCACCCATCCCTTCGGAACGGCACTCACCTATCTCTCAGGACCAAATGAACCATGTTCAACTGCTGTTCACCTGAGACCCATGTTCAACTGCTGTTCACATGGAACCCTTCTCCACTTCGGCCTTCAAAGCTCTCGTTTGAAAATTTGCTACTACCACCAAGATCTGCACCTGTGGCGGATCCACCTGGACCCACACCCTAGGCTTCAAAGCTTACCGCAGCGGCCCTCCTACTCCTCCCGGCGTAGACTCTGTGGGGCTGCAGGGGAGGGGGGAGGAGGGGAGGGGAGGACCCCCACCACACTCACACGGGCATACTGCCCCTGCCACTCCTGTCCACTCTCAACTGCTGGCAACAGCCGGATATGGGCCCGACGCTCCAGCTCCATCCATTTTCAGGAGTAGTTGATTCAGCAGCTGAGTTGTTACACTCCTTAGCGGATTCCAACTTCCATGGCCACCGTCCAGCTGTCTATATCAACCAACACCTTTTCTGGGATGTGATGAGCATTGGCATCGGGCATCTTAACATGGCATTCGGTTCATCCCACAGTGCCAGTTCTGCTTACCAAAAGTAGCCTACGAAGCACTTGCATTCCACGCCCAGCTCCATGTCAGCCAGCCAGGCTTCTTACCCATTTAAAGTTACAGAATAGACTGAGATCGTTTTGGCCCCAAGACCTCTTCTCGCTGAAATGTGGGCGTGGTTGGAGAGTAGCTGGGACAGACAGGAGGGTCTATAAGTGCTGGGGGTGAAGAGGTGAGAGAGACTGGTGAGGATCTCACTGAGGTCTGTGAGTTTCTAGGTGTTTCTGGGGTGTGAGAGACTGACTCCCGCTGAAATCTGGGCATAGTTGGAGAGTAGCTGGGACAGACAGGAGAGTCATTGATGGCGGGGGGTGAGCTGCTGGATGATGGCAGTAAGAACATATGGTATATTATTAATGAATGAGGTGACTGTGAAGAATCTCCAGAGGAGGACACGGGAGAGCACAATGACATGAGTGATTGTCCTGCTTGGCTAGGAAAGGGAAATGTAAAGTTGTGAAATTCTGTTGATGAGGGATGTGAGAGTGGTGAAGTCCTGTGGGATGATATAGAGTACTTCCACATCCCTGGTGAGGAGCTGCCCCTTGGGTCTGAGTTTCTGGGAGGGGAGAGGGAGAAGCTGGGTGAGACAGGCATGAATCTTGAGGAGTCAGGGCTGGGGGACCGCTCATAATCTCCCGAGACCTGTGAGTCTCTGGGGGACTCCTGGGTGCATGGGGCTGACTCCCGCACAAACCTCTGGATGGCTGGAGAGTAACTGGGAGGCACAGGCGAGTCCCTGAGGCCTGGGGGTGAAGAGATGAAAGACATAGGGGAGGAGCACTGTGAGGCTCGTGAGTTTGTAGGTGATTCCTTGGTGTGGGGGGCTGACTCCAGATGAAATCTGGGGTTGTTTGGAGAGTAGCTGGGAGACACGGGAGACTCCCTGAGAGCCAGGGGTGAGCTACTGGGTGATGGCAGGAAGAACATGTGGTATGTTATTGATGAACGTGGTGACTCTAAAGAATCCCCAGAGGAGGACACGGGAGAGCCCAATGGCTTCATTGATTGCCCATTATGGTGAGGAAAGGGAAATGGGAGCTTGTGGGATTCTGCTGATGACAGAGGTGAGTGTGGTGAAGCCCTAGGGAATGGTGAATGGTAGCTCCGGATCCCTGGTGAGGAGCTTCCTCTTAAGTCTGAGTTTCTGAGAGGGGAGAGGGAAAAGCTGGGTGAGGCTAGCATGGATCTTGGGGAGTCCGGGCTGGGGGACCGTTCATAAGAACAGCCAGACAAGATCCTACTTTTCTTAGGTGCAGACATGATTAGGAAACCTGCAGCTCCCAGGGACCCCTACCAATTTTCTAACCCGCAGAATGAAGGAGTATGTGTGTATGTGTGTGTGTGTGTGTGTGTGGTGTGAGGTATGTGCTCCTTAAGAAAATGGAAATAAACCAACCCATGAGACAGACAGACAGACAGACAGAGATTCACTTAGCCAAGTGTTCTGTCCTGTCCTCTAAATCCACTTCCAAGTCACAAGACGCTGTAAACTCCAAGTCCACGCAGAGCCCGCAAAACGCTCCGGCCGCTGCTACGCTCGGCGAAGATCTGAGTACAGGCCCGCCAGGCTGGGTTTAAATAGCCTCAGGCGCAGCCTAGCAGCGGAAAGGGCAGAGCTTCACTCTTCCTTTCCATCAGTCACCCCCAACTTTCCCAGGCTACACCTCGTAGGAAACTGTTCTCCTGATTTGATTTCATGTGCCACATTTGGGACAATCTAAGAACTTACAAGTTTTCTTGGCCAAATATATTATGAATTAAATGCACTGAAACACTGAAAACCATCTAGTGGTTCTGTGGTTCTCATGTTGTGGTTTTGACACCAGCAGCACCCTTGCAACCCTCAAATCCCGGAGATCCACAAATTTGTGTTGTAACAAGCCCTCCCACTGACCCTGATGCATGGCAGTTTAAGAATTACCTGTGTAAGCGAAAAGACTTTGAAGAAAAAGTGGAGATATGCGTTGTATAAACATTCTTTTGCTCTGGAACCATGTAGAGACTTGGGAGCCAGTTGGGTGGAGCATTCGTTGGATGAGGGTGCTCGGGTTAGGAATATCAAGGTGTGGCTCCAGATAATTCAATCATCTCATTAAGTTTCCAGTTATGCTAATCTGTTTTAAAATTCCGTTTGTGTAAATTCTTTTACTCAGACTGAGAATGGCAAAGCCTCAACCCCAATTTCCAGGGAGGGTTGAGAGCCTCAGGTTGAGTTGATCACCAATAGCCTATGGTTTAACCCATCATGCCTATAGAATGAGGTCTCCATAAAAACCCAAAAGGACTGGGTTTAGAGAGCTTCTGGATAACACTTCCTGAATGGTAGTGCGCCCCTCCCCACATGCTGGGCCCAAAATCTTTTTTCTGAATTTTTTGCAATATCCGCTATAATAAAATGGTAAATGGAAGTCTTTCCC
Organism: Homo sapiens; assembly: GCF_000001405.40. Taxonomy (NCBI): domain Eukaryota; kingdom Metazoa; phylum Chordata; class Mammalia; order Primates; family Hominidae; genus Homo; species Homo sapiens. The sequence continues at coordinate 30,516,988 of NC_000020.11, forward strand.
TGAGTGCTGTGAGCTCTTCCAGCAAATTAATGCAACTAAAACTGGGAGTGGTGGAAACCTGATTTATAGCCAGTTGCTAAGAAGCACAGGTAAAATAACGTAGGGCTTCCCATTGTTGTTAGAGTGGGAGGCCAGTCTTGTGGGACTGAGCCCTTTGGAATCTCATGCTATGTCCCGGTAGATAGTGTCATCATTGAATTAGAAGACACCCATACATTGAGAATAATTTTTCTAGTCATTTGCTGTATGTCTTATTTACAATATGTAATCAAATTCTTTATCCTGACCTTATGGCACCTGGGTTGAGAACCATGATTTGAACCAAAAATTGGTCTGTCACTTTCTCAGTTTGAAACTTTATTTGGCTGCTTGGGTTTTGTTATAGTTTTTTCATTTTGTTTTGTTTCCTTTTGTTTCTAAGTTCTGGGGTATATGTGCAGGATGTGCAGATTTGTTACAAAGGTAAACGTGTGTCACGGTAGTTTGCTGAACCTGTCAACCCATCACCTAGGTATTAAGCCCAGCATGCATTAGCTGTTTTTCTTAATGCTCTGCCTCCCAAAAGGCCCCAGTGTGTGTTGTTCCCCTTGCTGTGTCCATGTGATCTCCTTTTTAAGCTCCCATTATAAGTGAGAATGCGGTGTTTGGTTTTCTTTTCCTGGATTAGTTTGCTGAGGATAATGACTTCACATCATCAGTGTTTTTTCTTATTTTAAAGAATAGTACTTTATTGAATAAGATTTATTCACAGAAAAATAAGCTTTAATCTACAATGAATGCCAGACTCTACAGCAGAAAGCAATTTTCTCAGTTTTCCACACACAAAGGTTCCTACTAAGTGAAAAAAGCCATAAAATTTCATTCACAAATGTACTACTCTGTCTCAAAACATTTCCCATAATCATTCATTGTGCTAAAACAATTAGATCAGTTATTCAGTCAGGTTAATGTATCCCTCTGATAACTGATTTTCAAAATGCTATCAATATCCACTCCCTGTCAGTCTGCCATTGTTAATGGTATACAGCATTATGGAATACAATGGAATTGATGAAGCCCATATCCACAGACAAACCATCACTTATGATGGTTTGATTTATGATTTTTCAACTTTATGATGGGTTTATTGGGATATTAGATGAGTTTTTGAGTTACACTGGATTTATGAGTATTTGACCCTATACTCCAGAAATAGCTGTATAAAGAAAAACAAGTGTACCTAATTAAATTATACTGAGTGACTTGGGAGAAACCAATAGATGTTTACAATTGATGGAGAACCAAGAAAGAAAGATAGTGGTAAATAATAACAATAACACAATTTTCCTGCAACTGTCAAGGATTTCCCAAAAATTCACAGAATGTAGGATGCACCTAAGGCATATGAATGGGAGAGGGCAGAAGGAGTAAGAGAGAAATAGGAGGAAGCAAGGAAGGAAGGAAAGAAGGAAGGACGGAAGGAAGGAAGGAAGGAGAAAACACCCGGTGATACTAAAACCAAAAAAAAAAAAAAAAATGGTTTCCCACTGTGGGTAAGACTACAATGTGGATGAATCTTGAAAATATTGTGCTAAGTGTAAAGTCAGTCATAAAGTCTCACATACTGTGCAATTTTGTTTATAGGAAATGTCCACAATATGCAAATCTATGGATATGAGGTTGATCGCTCTATGTAGTTGTTACCTAGGGCTGAGGGTCAGGGAGAGGGTTTGAGACAGAATGAGGAGTGAATAATGTTTACAGGGTTTTTCTCTGGTCGGGGGTGATAAAATGTTCTAAAATGGATTGCGAATTAAAATTGAATATGCACAACCACAAATATACTAAAAGCCACTCAATTCATGACTTTTAATGGGGGAAACTTATGTGGCACACTCTCATCGAGACCACGGCAGATGTAGTGAATGAGAAAAAGGTGAGTAAATATCTGAAAGGGAGGCAGAAACAGAGAGAATGAAAAGCCCTGTGAATGGAAGAGAGAGAGAAAAGGGAAAATCGTCCTATTTACAAATGACAGATCTGAAACTGGGGCTCACATCAACAGTGTCACTGCCAGGGAGGAGGGTCATGCTAGCCATGTCACCGGTAGTGTCGCCCGCAGGGACGCCGACATGCTGGAGGTTCATGTCAGCATGGGCTCTGGCAGCCACGTGGGCCAGCAGGAGGGTCCCGCTGCACAGCTGTCCGGTGAGGATAGCCTGGGTGGTGATATCAGCCATTACAGGGGCCTCTTCTGCTGGCAAGAGTGTGACAGTAGCAAGTAGATGGACAGGCCTGTGTGTGAGGATGGAATGCAGGAGGGACTCTTCTGCGGCTGGGTGTGGGGCCCTCACGAGAAATGTGGAGAAATGGCCAGGTAACTGCGTCATGTTGGCTGGTAGATTGGCCAGGGCTTCGAAGTGAAGGACAGTAACGGGGAGTAGCTGTCAGGCCCTGGGAGTGTCTGAGTGTAAGTGGAGATGTGTTTGGGGTCACTGAGGGATACGTGGGAGCCATCCCTGTATAGATACAGGTCATAGGGAGATAGTCTCATGAGGCCTGTGAGTGTCTATGGTTCTCCTGAGTGCCTGGGGCTGACTGCGGCAGAAATCTGGGGAAGTCTGGAGAGGAGCTGGGAGACACAGGAGAGTCCCTGAAGGCTGGGGGTGAAGAGGTGAAAGAAATGGGGGAGGGTTGCAGTAAGGTCCGTGAGTTTGTAGGTGATTCCTGGGTGTGGGAAGCTGACTCCAGGTGAAATCTGGAGATGGTTGGAGAGTAGCTGAGAGAGACAGAAGAGTCCCTGAGGGCTGGGGGTGACAACATGAGCGAGACTGGGGAGTAAGTCAGTGAAATTGGTGAGTTTGGTGGTGTGTCCTGGGTGCCTGGAACTGACTCCAGCTGGAATCTAGAGAAATTTTGAGAGTAGCTGAAAGAGACACAAGAGTCCATGTGGGCTGAGGGCAAAGAACTGAGAGAGACCAGGGAGGATCTCAGTGAGGTCTGTGAGTCTGTAGGTGATTCCGGAGTGTAGGAGGCTGACTCTGGCTGAAATCTGAGCGTGGCGGGAGAGTAGCTGGGACAGACAGGAGAGTCCCAGGGGGCTGGGGGTGAAGATGTGAGAGAGACTGGGGAGTAACTCAGTGAAACTGGAGAGTTTGATGGTGACTTCGGGGTGCCTGGAACTGACTCCCGCTGAAATCTGGGCGTGGTTGGAGAGTAGCTGGGACAGACAGGAGAGTCCCTGAGGGATGGTGAAGACATGAGAGAGACTGGGGAGTAACACAGTGAAATTGGTGAGTTTGGTGGTGATTTCTGGGTGCCTGCAACTGACTCCCGCTGAAATGCGGGTGTGGTTGGAGAGTAGCTGGGACAGACAGGAGAGTCCCTGAGGGTTGGGGATAAAGGCGTGCTAGAGACTGAGGAGTAATTTAGTGAAAGTGGTGAGCTTGGTGGTGATCCCTGGGTTCCTGGAACTGACTCCCGCTGAAATGTGGGCATGTTTGGAGTAGCTGGGACAGACAGAAGGGTCCGTAAGGGCTGGGGGTGAAGACGTGAGAGAGACTGGCGAGGATCTCACTGAGGTCTATGAGTTTGTAGGTGTTTCTGGGGTGTGGGAGACCGACTCCCGCTGAAATCTGGGAGTAGTTGGAGAGTAGCTGGGACAGACAGGATAGTCATTGATGGCTGGGGGTGAGCTGCTAGATGATGGCAGTAAGAACATATGATATATTATTGATGAATGAGGTGACTGTGAAGAATCTCCAGAGGAGGACACAGGAGAGCACAATGACATGAGTGATTGTCCTGCTTGGTTAGGAAAGGGAAATGTAAAGTTGTGAAATTCTGTTGATGAGGGATGTGAGAGTGGTGAAGTCCTGCGGGATGATATAGAGTACTTCCACATCCCTGGTGAGGAGCTGCCCCTTGGGTCTGAATTTCTGGGAGGGGAGAGGGAGAAGCTGGGTGAGACAGGCATGAATCTTGAGGAGTCAGGGCTGGGGGACCGCTCATAATCTCCCGAGACCTGTGAGTCTCTGGGGGACTCCTGGGTGCATGGGGCTGACTCCCGCACAAACCTCTGGATGGCTGGAGAGTAACTGGGAGACACAGGCGAGTCCCTGAGGCCTGGGGGTGAAGAGATGAAAGACATAGGGGAGGAGCACTGTGAGGCTCGTGAGTTTGTAGGTGATTCCTTGGTGTGGGGGGCTGACTCCAGATGAAATCTGGGGTTGTTTGGAGAGTAGCTGGGAGACACGGGAGACTCCCCGAGAGCCAGGGGTGAGCTACTGGGTGATGGCAGGAAGAACATGTGGTATGTTATTGATGAACGTGGTGACTCTAAAGAATCCCCAGAGGAGGACATGGGAGAGCCCAATGGCTTCATTGATTGCCCATTATGGTGAGGAAAGGGAAATGGGAGCTTGTGGGATTCTGCTGATGACAGAGGTGAGTGTGGTGAAGCCCTAGGGGACGGTGAATGGTAGCTCCAGGTCCCTGGTGAGGAGCTTCCTCTTAAGTCTGAGTTTCTGAGAGGGGAGAAGGAGAAGCTGGGTGAGGCTAGCATGGATTTTGGGGAGTCCGGGCTGGGGGACCGTTCATTAGAAGAGCCAGACAAGACCCCACTGTTCTTAGATGCAGACATGATTAGGAAACCTGCAGCTCCCAGGGACCCCTACCAATTTTCTAACCCCCAGAATGAAGGAGTTTGTGTGTGTGTTTATGTGTGTGTGTGTGTGTTTGTCTGTTGTGACATATGTGCTCCTTAAGAAAATGGAAATGAACAAACCAATGTGACAGACAGACAGAGATTTACTTACCCAAGTGTACTGTCCTATCCTCTGAATCTACTTCCAAGTCGTAAGACGCTGTAAGCTCCAAGTCCACGCTGAGCCCGCAAAACGCTCCAGCCGCTGCTCTGCACTGTGAAGATCTGAGCTCGGGCCCCCCAACAGGGCGGGTTTAAATAGCCTTGGGCGCAGCCTGGCAGCGGAAAGGGCGGAGCTTCACTCCTCCTTTCCATGAGTCACCCCCAACTTTCCCAGGCTACACCTCGTAGGAAACTGTTCTCCTGATTTGATGTCTTATGACACATTTGGGACAATCTGAGAACTTACAAGCTTTGTTGCTCAACTACATTATGAATTAAATGCACTTAAACACTGAAAACCATGTAGTGGTTCTGTGGTTCTCACATTGTGGTTTTGACACCAGCAGCATCCTTGCAACCCACAAACCCCGGAGATCCACAGATCTGTGTGGTAACAAGCCCTCCCACTGACCCTGATGCATGGCAGCTTAAGAATTACCCATGTAAGTGAAAAGACTTTTAAGAAAAAGTGGTGATATACGTTGTATAAATATTCTTCTGCTCTGGAACCATGTAGAGACTCCGGGGCCAGTTGGGTGGAGCATTTATTGGATGAGGGTGCTTGGGTTAGGAATATCAAGGTGTGGCTCCAGATAATTCAATCATCTAATTAAGTTTTCAGTTATGCTAATCTGTTTTAAAATTCAGTTTGTGTAAATTCTTTTACTCAGACTGAGAATGACAATGCCTCAACCCCAATGTCCAGGGAGGGTTGAGAGCCTCAGGTTGAGTTGATCACCAATAGCCTATGGTTTAACCCATGATGCCTATAGAATGAGGTCTCCATAAAAACTGAAAAGGGCTGGGTTTAGAGAGCTTCTAGATAAACCTTCCTGGAAGGTAGTGCGCCCCTCCCCCCATGCAGGGCCCCATGAATCTTTTTTTCTGAATTTTTTCCAATATCCGCTATAATAAAATGGTAAATGTGTTTCCCTGCGTGCTGTGAGCTGTTCGAGCAAATTAATGCAACTAAATCAGGAGTGGTGGAAACCTGATTTATAGCCAGTTGGTCAGAAGCACAGGTAAAACAACCTCGGGCTTGCCATTGGTATTAGAGTGGGAGGCCAGTCTTGTGGAACTGAGCCCTGTGTAATCTAAAGCTATGTCCAGGTAGATAGCCTCATAATTGAATTAGAAGACACCCAACTGATTTCCAGAGCAGAATGCATTGTGTGCTTGACTGACCGAGAGAAATCCCCAGACATGCTGTCACAGAAATCTTCTGTGTTAATTGTTGTGATATGAGAACGGAGGAAAAACAGTTTTTGTTTTTTTCACTCAGCCTAAAATGTAAACGGGTCTATTTTCTCACACTATTGAGGATCACTTGATTTACAATAAAAACGTTTAGTCTTTGATATATAAAAAGGATGTTGGTTTTCGTTTTATTGCTAACAATCAAGGTGGTCATAGTTGATGTCTTTTTGTCATTTTTCTTTTCACTGCCTTGTCATGTCTTTCACCCACTTTTTAATTATTTTATTTTTAACTAAAAAAAAATTTTAGGCCGGGCGCACTGGCTCACACCTGCAATCTCGGCACTTTGGGAGGCCGAGACGGGCGGATCACGAGGTCAAGATATCGAGATCATCCTGGCCAACATGGCGAAACCCCGTCTCTACTAAAAATACAAAAATTAGCCGCGTGGTGGCTGGCGCCTGTAGTCCCAGCTACTCAAGAGGCTGAGGCAGAAGAATCGCTTGAACCCGGGAGGCAGGGGTTGGAGGGAGCCGAGATGGCGCCATTGCACTCCAGCCTGGCGACAGAGTTAGACTCCGTCTCAAAAAAAAAAAAAAAAAAATTAGATACAAGGTCTTGCTGTGTCACCCACGCTGAACTGTAGTGGCCCAATCACAGCTCACTATAGCCTCCAATCCCTGGGCTCAAACAATTCCGCTGCAACAGCCTCTTGAGTAGCTGGGACCACAGGCACACACCACCAGGCCTAGCTGTTCACCCATTTTTCAAGTGTTCATTTTCCCCCCTTCATTGTTTTGTGACCATTTCCTCTTAAGGAAATTAGCTACTAACCGTCATATGTGTTGAGAATAATTTTTCTAGTCATTTGCTGTATGTCTTAATTGCAATATGTAATCAAATTCTTTGTCTTTACTTTATGACACCTGGGTTGAGAACCATTATTTGAACCAAAAATTGGTCTGTCACTTTTTCAGTTTGAGACTTTATTTTGCCGCTAGCATTTTGTTTTTGTTTTGTTTTGTTTTTAAGTTCTGGGGTATATGGGCAGGAGGTGCAGATTTGTTACATAGGTAAACGTGTGCCATGGTGGTTTGCTGCACCTGTCAACTCATCACCTAGGTATTAAGCCCAGCATGCATTAACTATTTTTCTTAATGCTCTCCCTCCCCTAACCCCACCCCATGACAGGCCCCAATGTGTGTTGTTCCCCTTCCTGTGTCCATGTGTTCTCATTTTTCAGCTCCCACTGTAAGTGAGAACGTGGTGTTTGGTTTTCTCTTCCGGGATTAGTTTGCTGAGGATAATGACTTCACATCGCTAGTGTTTTCTTAAATGTCAGCATATTTCTGGGACTTCATTTCTCTTTTTGCTAATGCAAATTACATGCATGTTTAAGACAATATTTGCTTATGTTTTATTTTTTTAAGTTAAAATGAAAGTCCCCATTGCTATATCAACCTCCTCTCTCTTGTTACTTTTATTTCCCTCCCAAAATTACCGTTATTAAAAATTTCACCTTAGTTGTTTCAGATCGGTTTCTATATATTTACACAGATATTTGTGTATAGTTAGGAACAGAGTTTGGGGTTTGTGTGTTTGTTTTTGCTTAAGTGGTGGACGCCTGTCATCCCAGCTACTCAGGAGACTGAGGCAGGAGAATTGCCTCAACCTGGGAGGTGGAAGTTGCAGTGAACCGAGATCACATGCCACTGCACTCCAGCCTGGGTGACAGAGCAAGACTCCATCTCAAAACAAAAACAAACAAACAAAAAAACCTGGCTCTTATTAATCCTTTTAGTCTTTTTCCATCAGGTGAACAATTATGGCATTACATTATGTTAATTTTTCCAGGTAGGAGATATTGGCCATCCTCTTATTTTTTGAGACAGGAACTCACCCTGTCTCCCAGGTTTTACTGCAATGGTGCAATTAGAGCCTCAGGCGATCCTCAGTCTCTTGAGCAACTAGAACTACAGGTGTGAACCACTGCACCTGATAATTTTCTTTTAAGTTTTTTGTAGAGTCGAGGTCTCACTATGTTGCCCAGGCTTGTCTCAAACTCCTGGGCTCAAGCTATCCTCCTGCCTTGGCCTTCCAAAGTGCTGGGATTACAGGTGTGAGCCATCTCTCCCTGCCTCTTCATCCTCTTATAAGCTTATTCTTTTGTATTCCCCTTGCTATTTACTCCTTGTTTCTTTCTGTTTAGGTATTCATCTTATTTATGAACTCTTTGTGTGTATTTTTTTCTAGGTTTTGATCTTTTTTCTTCTGTTATATGTATTAACAAGAAATTTACTTTCAATCTGTTGATTGACATTTGTTTTCATGGTGATATGTTTTAGAAAGTAATATTTCTTAATAAGATGAATTATATTGCTAAATGTAGTAATGATGAATTTCCATGCATTACTGTTGTACTGTAATAATTTTAATATGTTGATGGATTTTGTTTGCTGCTTTCCATAAAATTTTGCAGTTCTATTCATTGAGACATTTTCCTTTAGTTTTCTGGCTTTTTTTTTTGTTGCTCTGTTAGGGTATAATTTGGTTATCAAGATTATACTAGGATTTGTGGTAGTAATATAATAAGTTAAGAAGCTCCTAACAGGTTCTGCTCTCTGGAAAAGTTTATTCTAATAATCACCTCATTGTAGGTTTGTGTTATTTCTCTCTTAGAGCATTCAGAATAGATTTCCTATTTGGGGATGAACCTTAGGTTTCTTCTGAGGTTGTTGTTTTATTTAGCATTTATACTGCTTGTTAAATATATTTGCGTTCTCTATATATTCCCTGAGAATTATATTCTTCACTTCACCTCTGTTTCTTCTGCATTATCTGCTTTCCACTTTCTCTGGTTTTGTTTTGCTGCTGTATATCTGAGACATAGATAGTTCAGTGTTAAGAGCATGGGGCCAGGCTCAGTGGCTCATGCCTCTAATCCCAGCACTTTGGGAGGCCGAGGCGGGTGGATCACGTCAGGTCAGTAGTTCAAGACCAGCCTGACAACCTTGGTGAAACCCCATGTCTACTAAAAACAAAAAATTAGCGGGGCGTGGTAGCTCATGCCTAGAATCACAGCTAATTGGGAGGCTGAGGAAGGAGAATCACTTGAACCCAGGAGGCAAAGGTTGCAGTGAGCTGAGATAGTGCCATTGCACTCCAGCCTGGGCAACAAGATCAAAACTCTGTCCAAAAAAAAAAAAAAAGCTTGAGCTCTGGAAACTTCCTCTCAGTTTGTTGTACTAGATTGTTTAGTAGTTGGTCTGCCTTTTACTAGACATGTTGTTCTCTGTACCTCAGTGTCCTCATCCATAACATAGCAATATAATAGTGCCCATTTTGTAGTGTGACATGAGAATTAAATGAAGTAATACACATGAAAGACTTAGAACACACAAACCCTCAATGCATATAAGCTACCACTGTTATTACCACTTTCTTGAAATGGAAGTTAATTTATTTTCACTCTTGTGTTTCATAAATTTAACGAATGTTACAAGTTTTCCTCTGAGTATGATTTTAAGCTATTTTCCTCTGTTTTGGATATGTACTTCTTTTGCTTTTATTTATTTCCAAATGGTATGTGACTATTATTTTGATTTCCTCTTTAATCCAAGCCTGCATTTAAAGAGTGTCCTCGGGTTCCTTTCAATCTTGAGGTGAATAAATAACTTACAGAACACTCTTTATGTCCTTTTGTGAATTTAATTGCATTATGATCAATGAATGTGACCTACATGGTTTCTGTTCTGGGACATATGTTATCTATTGCATTCAAAAACTACCATTTGAGCCAGGCGAGTTGGCTCAGGCCTTTAATCCCAGCACTTTGGGAAGCTTAGGCAGTGAAGTTCAAGACCAGTCTGGGAAACATGGCAAAACCCTGTCTGTACAAAAGATAAAAAAATTGGCTGCATATGGTGGCATGCACCTGTAATCCCAGCCACTTAGGAGGCTGAGACAGGAGATTCCTTGTCTCAAAAACAAACAAACAAACAAAACAAAACAAAACCTACTATGTGTTTAACTCATGATTCTATAAATCAGTAGTTTGAGTGTGCCTCAGCCAGGCTCACGCTTGCATCTGAGTCAACTTCTAAGTTGACACTGCATATAATAGAACTCACACATCCTTGTCAACTGCACCAGCTGGGTCCTGGGGTGGGGTGGGGCCCTCAACTGGGATCTCTGCCCCACTTGGTCTTATACTTCAGCAGGTCACACACTCACGAAGTCAAAGCAGTCACAGTGGCCTGAGAGACTGAACAGAGTTGTGCATTCTGTCAGATAAAACAATTCACAATGCCAGCATTCCAGGGATGGGGGAATAGACTTCAGCTCTTGAAGAAATAAGGGGCTACAATGTCACATTGTCAAGAGTGAAGGATTTGGTCACTTCTGCAATCTCCCACAGAAAATAATTCTTGAGCTGTCATATGTAGTCTATATTTTGTTCTTCATCTTAGTTTCTCAGTGCTTTTTAATGCATGTTTGAAAACTATATTAGTTTCCTCAGGCTGCTGTAACAAAGTACCAGAAACTGGGTGGCTTCAAACAACAGAGATTAATTCTCTCACACTTCTGGAGAATAGAAATCTGAAATCAAGGTGTCAGCAGGGCCATGCTCTCCCTAAAAGCTCTAGAGAAGAATTCTTCCTTGTCTCTTCCTAGACTCGGTTTCCAGCAATCTTTGGCATCCCCTGGCTTGTATCACTCCACTTTTTGCCTCCATCTTAACATGGCAGTTTTCCCTCTGGGTGTGTCTGTGTCCAGAGTTTCTTCTGTTTTTTAGGACAGAAATCATTGCATTAAGGCCCACCCTAATCTAATGTGGTCTCATCTTAACTTGATTATATCTGCAAAGATTCTGTTGGTCAATAAAGTTATGTTCATAGGTACTGGGTGTTAGGACTTGAACATATTTTTGGGATGGGGGGGGCACACGATTCAACCCACAACAAAAGCCATGCATTTTTTTCTGGTCTTTGTGATATAAAAATTATGTATACATGAATATTTACAGCATTTTGTACTTCAAAACCTTTGTATCTTTTCATTTTATGTCAATGTCTCTGTCACTTTTGGAAAGCAAATGATGTTCTTCATCCTATCTCATTCATCCTCCTCCACGACTATTCACTAGTCCTTATTTTAAAAAAAATCAAAACCTCAGTTTCCATGATCAATCTGCAACCCCATCCCTGAAGTTTATGCCTCCTTCCCTCTAGTATCCCAACTCCAGCAATACCTTGTCCTGAGGGAAACTTCAATTCATAAACCCATGAATTTCTATGACTTTATCACACACCTCATGTTCCCATTTTTTTCTCCATACCCAATCCATAGTGCATTATAACCACAACCTTTTGTATATCCTGAGTTCCCATTCCATTATCTCTCTTGCTTTTGTGGCAAAACTCTTATCCTTATTAAATGCAAATTTTTATCACAAACTTGTTGGACATGCTGGCTCATGCCTGTAATCCCAGCACTTCGGGAGGCTGAGGTGGGTGGATCTCCTGAGATCAGGAGTTCGAGAACAGCCTGGCCAACATGGTGAAATCCCATCTCTACTAAAAATACAAAAATTAGCGGGGCATGGTGGTGGGAACCTGTAACCCCAGCTCCTCAGGAGGCTGAGACAGGAGAATCGCTTGAACCCAGGAGGCAGAACTTGCAGTGAGCCAAGATCGCATCATTGCACTCCAGCGTGGGCAACAAGAGCAAAACTCTGTCTCAAAAAATCAAAATAAACGACAACAGCAAGAAAATGTATCACAAACTTACCTGAGCAGTGGCTGGAGAAGAAAACACACAATTGTGCTACCTGGTCTTCCTCTAAATTTCAGGCCACAGACAATGAGCCAGTGCTCACTGCTTCCAGGCAATCCTACTCTATTTCTCTAGACTATTCAGCCTCCCATTTGCCGGAATGACCATTTCCCACTTTTTCATCTCTTCCCAAACATCTCTCCCTGCCCTCTTCCTCCCTCTTCCCTTCTAGCTCATGACCTTGCTTCTCCTTTCACTGAGAAAATAAAATCAATCAGGAAAAATATGCCACCTTCTACTATGAAATCTAGCAAATTTCTTGCACTGAATCCCCATATGCCTTCATGTCACCATGGCTGGGCTGTGCCTGCTTCTAACTGTAATCCCCTCAGCTTGTGCCCAAGATCCCATCTCTTCTTGACTAGTCAAGTACTCTGTTTCTGCTGCTGCCCCTTCAATTCTCCAGCGTCACCAGCATCACTCTCTTTCAGTGCATTTCCATCAACTTAGGACTTGGTTAACATCTCCAGTCTTGGTAGGCATGGAATGGTATTTGATTCCATTAGCCTTCCTAGCTACCCTCCCTCCTTTCACTGCTGTTCTTGACCACAAGTTCTCAAGAGACACTGCCTCAGTTTCTCCAATTCTTTTAAAACTCACTCCATTCATGCTTCCCACAACCTCCACATCATCTTGTCTGGCACACACATTTCCCCATAGCTGCTCTAGTTAAGATTACATCGCCAAATCCAGCAGTCAGTTTTCAGCGTCTCTCATCTTACTTGACCTACCAATAGCATATGACACCACTTGTATCATTAGTGTGGGTGATTGTTTCCATTAGTATAATGCAGCATTGTCTCAATTAGTATAATTATATTAATATGCATTAATATAAATTCTATTAATATTATTCACTATAAAGCCATGTGGGAGGTTATGATTCTACTACCACTCATACAGTTTTTGTTTTCCTGGTGTTTCTAAGTGCTTTTTTGATACATTATATATAGTTATTATTTCTCCAAGTTTTCAGTGTCTCAAATATGTTCTATAATGTATGGAGTCTACTTTTTCCAGATTCCACCTTCCTGGATCCCCCCATCTTTATCCTTCCTTGAGGGCTGATTACCATCTTGGCCTGATTACAGTCTGGTTCAGTCTCCTGGGACTTCCTTTCGCTGTGATCCAGCAAAAAATCCAGGGTTGAATTTCCTACTCCCTAGATGCTAAGTCTTCCTCTTTCTTAAATTATTACCTCATTTGCTGCAGCACGTAATCAAGTAACAGCATGAGGGTTACTTCTCCTGCACTTAAGAGTACATAAAGAGTACATAGGAGGTACATTTTCTGAATCCCAGTATTTTTCCATTTAGGCAATTTATAGTTTGCATAACTATTGCTGGGTCTAAGTTGACAATCATTTTATTTCAGAATTTTAAACAAAAATATGAATTGATGGGCAGAATAATGGATGCATATTGCTGAAGGTGCAAATTAGTGAGCTGGAAGATTAGGCAAGGGATTATTCCAGAGAGTAATGCAAGCAGATGGCACATTAGGATATGTGATGGGTATATGATGGATATTAGGAGACGTGAAAGAAGGAACCAACATATGGATAATAAGAGTATCACAAAGGGAGGGAATATACAATAATGGGGAGGAAAACCTCAAAAGAAAAAAATAAAATAAAATACCCCAGAGCTGGAGGAGAGATTTGAGATTCTAATTGAAAGGTCCTGCTGAGTGCTTAACAGGAAGAAGCAAAAAGCTCGTCAAATTAAATTATGGTAAAATTTCAGCTGATAAAGAAAAAAATCCTAAATGCCTCAAGAAAAAAAGTAAAACCCAAATATTACCTATTAGAGATTGAAGAATTAATTTGGTATCATAGTATTCATCAGTAATAAAAACTAAAAGAGAGAGAGATAATGTTTCAAAGTTATGAAGAACTGTAACTTGTGTCTAAGTATTACATGCCCAGGCAAGCCAACATTTGCTGTGAGGGAAGAATGAAGACATAAGACAAAAGGATACAAGGAACTTACCAACTTCAGACTGTCTGAAAAAAATTCTTAAGAATACAGTCCAGCAAAATAAATAAATTCAAGATAGAGGAAGATGTACAGTATGTACAACAAGCAAGAATATACAGTAAATCTTAAGGTTAAATCTAAATAATTGTTTATATGTGAGGAAAAAAGAAAATTTAGTGTTCAGATTCTAGAAGACATAAATATGGGAGATGAGAGGAGAAGAAAGGAAGAAAGCTTGTTAAAAACATTCTTGTGGGCCGGGCCTGGTGGCTCACGCCTGTAATCGCAGGACTTTGGGAGGTCAAGGCGGGCAGATCACGAGGTCAGGAGATCGAAAGCATCCTGGCTAACATCGTGAAACCCCGTCTCTACTAAAAATACAAAAAAATTAGCCGGGCGTGGTGGCAGGCACCTGTAGTCCCAGCTACTCAGGAGGCTGAGACAGGAGAATGGCGTGATCCTGGGAGTCAGAGCTTGCAGTGAGCCAAGATTGTGCCATTGCACTCCAGCCTGGGCATGGAGCAAGAGACTCTGTCTCAAAAAAAAAAAAGGAAAGAAAAAAATAAGAAAAAAACATTTCTGACCAGACTTGATGGCTTGTGCCTATAATCTCAACATTTTTTCAGTCCAAGGTGGGAGGATTGTTTGAACACAGATGTATCAGACCAGCCTAGGCAACACAGTGAGACTCTATAAGAAAATTTTTAAAAATCAATTAGGCATAGTGGTGCACACCTGTATTTCCAGTTACTTGGGACACTGAGGTGGGAGGATTACTCATGCCCAGGAAGTTGAGGCTACAGTAAACAACAGAGCAAGACCATGCATCAAAACAAACAAACAAAAACCAAAACAACTAACAGAAAACATTTTTTTAATTTGGAAAGATGATATCAACACTGATGAACTCTAATAAACTTTTAATAGAGGAATTTTATAACTTATATTTATAAAACATCTTATTATGTTGCTATAAACATGTGTGTGCAACTATCTTTTTCATATAATGACTTCTTTTCCTCTGGGTAGATACCCGGTAGTGGGATTGTTGAATCAAATGGTAGTTCTACTTTTAGTTCTTTAAGGAATTACCACACTGTTTTCCATAGTGGTTGCAGTAGTTTATATTCCCATCAGCAGTGTAAAAGTGTTCCCTTTTCAGCCCATCCCCACCAACATCTATTATTTTTTAAATTTTTTATTATGGCCATTCTTGCAGCTGTAAGGTGGTATTGCATTGTGTTTCTGATTTGCATTTCCCTGATCATTCGTGATGTTGAGCATTTTTTCATATGTTTGTTGGTTATTTGTATATCTTCTTTGTAGAATTGTCTATTCATGTCCTTAGCCCATTTTTTGATGGGATTCTTCGTATTTTTCTTGCTAATTTGTTTGAGTTCCTTCTAGATTCTGGATATTCATCCTTTTTCAGATGTATGGATTGTGAAGATTTTCTCCCCCTTTGTGGGTTGTCTGTTTAATCTGCTCAGTGTTTCTTTTGCTGTGCAGAAACTTTTTACTTAAATTAAGTCTCACCTATTTATCATTTTTTCTATTGAATTTGCTTTTAGGATCTTGGTCATCAAGTCTTTGCCTAAGCTAATGTTTTGAAGGGTTTTTCTGATGTTATCTTCTAGAATTTTTATGGTTTCAAGTTTTAAGTTTTTGATCCATCTTGAGTTGACTTTTGTATAAGGTGAGAGATGAGGATCCATTCACATTCTTCTACATGTGGCTTGCCAATTACACCAGCACCATTTGTTTGAATAGGGTGTCTTTTTTTTTCTTTTTGAGACGGAGCCTTGCTCTGTCACCGAGGCTGGAGTGCAGTGGCAGAATCTCGGCTCACTGCAGGCTCCACCTCCTTGGTTCAATCCATTCTCCTGCCTCAGCCTCCCGAGTAGCTGAGACTACAGGCCCCCGCCACCGCACCCGTCTAATTTTTTGTATTTTTAGTAGAGATGGGGTTTCACCGTGTTAGCCAGGATGGTCTCCATCTCCTGACCTTGTGATCCACCTGCCTCAGCCTCCCAAGGTGCTGAGATTACAGGCGTGAGCTACTGTGCCCGGCCTGAATAGGGGGTCTTTTCCTTACTTTATGTTTTTGTTTGTTTTGTCAAATATCAGTTGGCTGTAGGTATTTGGATTTATTTCTTGGTTCTGTATTCTGTTCCATTGGTCTTTGTGCCTATTTTTATACCGGTACCATGCTGTTCAGGTGACTACAGCCTTATGGTATAGTTTGAAGTCAGGTAATGTGATGCCTCCAGAATTGTTCTTTTTGCTTAGTCTTGCTTTGGTTCTGCGGGCTCTTCTTTGGTTCCATATGAATTTTAGAATTGTCTTTTCTAGTTCTGGGAACAATGATGGTGGTATTTTGATGGAACTTGCATTGAATTTGTAAACAACTTTTGGCAGTATGGTCATTTTTACAATATTGATTTACCCATTCATGAACATGGGTTGTGTTTCCATTTGTTTGTGTCATCTATGATTTCTTTCAACAGTGTTTTATAGTTTTCCTTGTAGAGGTCTTTCACCTCCTTGGTTAGAAATATTCCTAAGTATTTTTTTTTTTGCAGTTCTTGATTTCATTCTTAGCTTGGTTGCTGTTGGTGTACAGCAGAGGTATGATTTGTGTACATTAATTTTGTATCCTGAAACTTTGCTGAATTCATTTATGAGTTCTAGAAGCTTTTTGAAGGAGTCTTTAGGGTTTTCTATGTATATGATCATATCATCAGCAAACAGCAGCAGTTTCACTTTCTCTTTACTGATTCGAACATTTCTTTCCCTCCTTTTGTTTGATTGAGGTTGTTGTTGTTCATTTTCTTTCCTTTAGAGCAGTGATTTTCAAGGGGTTACTGTTGGGTGTTTTGAATGGATGACTTCTTTGTTGAGATAATTAATTTACAGATGCAATATGTTTAGCATTCCTTACCTCTGCATACTAAACTCATACCCCAGTCACTGGAGCAAGCAAAGATCACCCACACAATTCAAAAGAGTCTTAGGGAGGCTATTTCCTTCCTCTTTGATGGTCACTGTTCTACTTTTTCATTTTCTTTTTCTTTTTTTAGACATAAAATCTCATGCTGTCACCCAAGCTGGAGTACAGTGGCACCATCATTGCCCACTGCACCCTGAACCTTCCAGGCTCAAGCCATCCTCCCACCACAGCTGCTTGATCAACTAGGATTACAGGCCAGAGTCACTGTTCTATAGTTGGGAATTAGGAGCAGTTCCTAGATCAATTATTCAAGCACTTTCTCTTTTGTTCCTAACATACCCATTTAAGTGTGTATTTTCAGACTAAAGACAAGCTCCTAGATTAGGTAAAAGTAACATTTAAAAATAACTATAATAATAAAGAGTATATAAATAGTAAGGTAAAAAATGCTAATTTTAAGAGAAAGTGAAAAAATAAATACTAGAGGAAATCTAATGAAAAGAAAGCAGGTACAGTCAGCACTGAAAAGTAAACTCAAGGTGAAAATACAAAGTACTTAAAATGTTAATGACATTTTTGGTCCATCAAGAAGATATGACCATTATGAAACTTACACAGGGTCAGCATCACTAAATTTTAAAATCCAAAATGTTCCACAATCTGAAACTTTTGGAATGTGAACATGACACCACAAGAGAAAATTTCCACACCTGAAATATTTGCTTTCTTTCTCTTCTTTTCATTAATTGATTTTTCTTTGGTCATCTGATGAAGGCAATCTTTGCTTCTGATGGTTCAATGCACACAAACATTGTATACAAACCTTGTGAACAAAATTAATCAAATAATTCTATAAAATTAATTTCAGGGTACGTGTATAAGGTGTATAGGAAACACAAATGAATTTTGCGTTTAGACTTGGGTCTCATCCTCAAGATATCTCATTATGCATATGCAAATATTGCAAAATCTGAAAAAAATAAAAAATCTGAAACACTTCTGGTCCCAAGTGTTTCAGATAAGGAACAGACCACTTCCATACCTAATAACACGACTTTTAAAATGTAAAGCCGCTTGTATACCTAATAACACGACTTTTGAAAAATGAAGTAGGCTGGGAGCGGTGGCTCATGCCTGTAATCCCAGCACTTTGGGAGGCCGAGGCGGGCAGATCACAAGGTCAGGAGATGGAGACCATTCTGACTAACACGGTGAAACCCTGTCTCTACTAAAAATACAAAAAAATCAGCCGGGCGTGGTGGCGGGCACCTGTAGTCCCAGCTACTCGGGAGGCTGAGGAAGGAGAATGGCATGAACCTGAGAGGGGGAGCTTGCAGTGAGTTGAGATGGCGCCACTGCCCTCCAGCCTGGGCAACAGAGCGAGACTTAGTCTCAAAAAAAAAAAAAAAGAAATTAAATAAATAAATAAAGCAAATGCTATAGAGAGGAAAATGACAAATATACCATTATAGACTTTTTTTTTTAATTTTTCTTTCTTTCTTTTTTTTTTTGAGACAGAGTCTCGCTCTGTCGCCCAGGCTGGAGTGCAGTGGCACGATCTCGGCTCACTGCAACCTCCGCCTCCTGGGTTCAAGCGATTCTCTTGCCTCAGCCTCTCTGGGTTCAAGCGATTCTCTTGCCTCAGCCTCTCAAGTAGCTGGGACTACATGTGTTTGCCACCATGCCTGGCTAATTTTTGTACTTTTAGTAGAGACGGGGTTTCACCATCCTGGCCAGGCTAGTCTTGAACTCCTTACCGCGTGATCTGCCCACTTCGGCCTCCCAAAGTACTGGGATTACAGGCTTGAGCCACCACGCCCAGCCTGGGAGCCTTTTTGACATGAACTTTTCAATCATTGACAGATGCATAATGAAAAAATCTAAGTAAGCATAAATAAGCATGTAGGAAATTTAAATAGCACAATTAACAAGTCTGGTGAAAATATAAATGTATGCATATCCCTCTGATAGAGAAAACACATTGTTTTCCAATAGACACAGTTGTCACAAAAATTAACATTGTATTAGGTCAAAAACAAAAATGTTCCTGAACTCGCTTTTTAAAATTCAAGTATGTCAAATTAAATCAAGTAATCCTTCAACTTAGAGCAATATATAAGAACATCAAACATGTAAACATCAAAAGACAGAAATAAGCCAAAAGAATTGCACTGTCCCTTTATGTGCCCTAAGCTGCAATGTCAAGCTATAGTTGGATATTATTCAACCATTTCCTGCCCATTGCCTAGAGGTAGGGGTCTTCACTTCTCTGTCTAGTCTAGGACTGGAACTGCCTCATGACCCCTACAGCTTGAGGGTGCGTGGAAAACGGAATGCCAGCCAGATATTCCAAACAGAGCCTCTGCCAGCAGGACCAGGTGACCATTCCTAGGAGAGAGATTGTTCTCACCCATTATCAGGGCTTTCCTCCAGGCTAAAACTGTGGGTCTCTAATGGAATTCTTATTCAATTTTCTCACCCCATTAGAGTACCCAAAATTTTCTTTAATAGAAATCTTAATTTTTTTTAATTTTATTATTATTATACTTTAAGTTGTAGGGTACATGTGCACAACGTGCAGGTTCGTTACATATGTATACATGTACCATGTTGGTGTGCTGCACGCATTTAGCATTAGGTGTATCTCCTAATGCTATCCCTCCCCCTTCCCTCCACCCTACAACAGGCCCCGGTGTGTGATGTTTCCCCTCATGTGTCCATGTGTTCTCATTGTTCAATTCCCACCTATGAGTGAGAACATGCGGTGTTTGGTTTTTTGTCCTTGCCATAGTTTGCTGAGAATGATGGTTTCCAGTTTCATCTCTGTCCCTACAAAGGACATGAACTCATCATTTTTATGGCTGCATAGTATTCCATGGTGTATATGTGCCGCATTTTCTTAATCCAGTCTATCGTTGTTGGACATTTGGGTTGGTTCCAAGTCTTTGCTATTGTGAATAGAGCCGCAATAAACATATGTGTGCATGTGTCTTTATAGCAGCATGATTTAAAATCCTTTGGGTATATACCCAGTAATGGGATTGCTGGGTTAAATGGTATTTCTAGTTCTAGATCCCTGAGGAATTGCCACACTGACTTCCACAATGGTTGAACTAGTTTACAGTCCCACCAACAGTGTAAAAGTGTTCCTATTTCTCCACATCCTCTCCAGCACCTGTTGTTTCCTGACTTTTTAATGATCTTAAATCTTAAATGCAATAACATAAAGTAAAATAAAGCCTAAGTCCCAACAAGGGGAAATTTTCAAAAATAATCTGAAAACTTCCTGCGTTTTCTTGTTATGTTGTAATGAGTACTCCTGCAATTCCCCTATTAAGGATTCAGACAATGGTTGTTAATTCATTCTGCTTCTTCTGAGACTAGGAAAAAAATTACTGGGCTATGTTATATCGCAAGTGTAGATTATGCAGAGTCTTCATCAACAGAAACAAAACATGGTGTGGGGCGGGGATGGAACAATTTAAGTGAATTTTAATTGAAAAGTTTCGTGGTTTTAACATTAAAAGACATGCCTATAAAATAAGAACCTGTAAAAGTCTTCACTAAAATGGTAAAGTGCTCATTTCCAAGTAGTAAAATATTGAAACTTTTTCTTTTCATCGTTGATAGTGATTTAACATTTCATTACTTTATCGTTATTATGATTGTCATTATTTTAGACGAATGCATGGAAGTCAAAGGACTTCCAAATGCACTGACGTCAAAGGCTACCTTCACCCGGGTAGCCTTGCGAATGGCCACGGCTGCGCGTGGGGCTTTCTGGGGATTGTAGTCCATAGGCCTCCTTGCGCAAGCGCTGTGGTACCAGACGCAAGCTGCGGGCGACATTGTTTGGGATGCTGGGGTGAGGCCCGCCTGGACCGCGCCCCTCTCGGAAGTGTAGCCAGGAGTAGGGGTGTAGGATGTGCAGCTGTGACCCGTCCCTGTGGACTGAAGTAGGAGGAGTGGAGGAGGGGACTGGTGACCAATGATAAGGCCTAGTGGGTGGGGTAGGCTGGGGAAGTTCAGCGGCCCCTACCTACCCGGGATGGGATGGGAAGCGCTTGGGGTTTGGGGAGCGCTGGATGGTTTGGGGAGCAGCCCTGGGTTTGACAAAACGTTCATCTTCACGTTTCGTGACAGCGACTTGCGCTGTGCCACCTTGGGTCGAGGCTTAGGGTCAGTCTTGGAATGTGCATCTCTGGATGAGGGCAGAGGGGAGCTGGCTCAGGGTTTGGGAGTAATGGCTGGGGCTGTGCCTCCCTGAATGAGATGAGAGATTTGCTTAAGCAGCTTGTCTCTGGAGATAGAGGATGGCTTGGGCTATTCTCGCTCAGTTTGGTCGGGGCGATTCTGGCTCAGCACCCCTAGGTTCTTGGATGGGGAGTTGTCTTGGGTCTGAACTCTGGATTTTGGCAGCTCTGACTCCATTGGGGCATTTCTGACTTCAGGGCAGAGGTTCCGGCTTCTGGCAATAAAGAAACAACTCAGACTGTAAAAACTCTGGAGTTTAATGTCACCGAACACATTTTGAAAAGAACTGCCCCAGGCCTGGCGCAGTGTCTCACTCCTGTAATCCCAGCACTTTGGGTGGATCACGAGGTCAGGAGATCGAGACCATCCTGGCTAACACGGTGAAACCCCGTCTCTACTAAAAAAAAAAAAAAAAAAAGAAAGAAAAAAATTAGCCGGGCATGGTGGCAGGCACCTGTAGTCCCAGCTACTCGGGAGGCTGAGGCAGGAGAATGGTGTGAACCCGGGAGGCGGAGCTTGCAGTGAGCCGAGATCGCGCCACTGCACTCCAGCCTGGGCGACAGAGCGAGACTCCGTTTCAAAAGAAAAAAAAAAAAGAAAGAAAATAAAAGAACTGCTCCAAATTATTAACTCCATTCTCACCTCACATGCTGTGAGCCAGGGAGTACGGAATTTGAGTATTATAAAGCACGTGAGCAAATGTAAGTTGTTAAATTACACTCACCAAATTTGAAGTTTGAACGCTCTCTGTATATTTGATAAAGTTAGAGATTTAGTGTTAATTATTTTAGGTGTAATAGCAGCATTTATTACATTTCTGATCGTGTTTCTGGACAATTTCAGTTCCAGATTCAGCTGCACTTTTCCTCTAGGTCTTCATTCCCTGAAGAGGTTGATATGGGCATCTGGTCTCATTCCTGATGTATTCCTCAGATCAGAGTAGTTGTCAGGTTGAGGGATGAGAAAGGCATTTGTGTGAGAGAGCTGTGTGGACTTTGGCAGATAGGGAAAAAACAAGAGTCCTGAGGTGCCACGTGTCCCATGCCTTTGGCTCCCCACCTTTTCCACCCTGCTGTCTGCCCTGAAAGGCCACCATTGCCTTCTGGCCTTGCTTGTCTTTGGCCAGTGGGAAGTCTCAACAGGAAAGTTTGGAGAGAGAAAGAAGTGTGAGTTGGAGGATCTTGTCCCCCAGTTCTCTCTCTGCAGGATTGTCACAGATTAGCTGCCCTTCTAAACAACAGGTCATGGTTTGGGTGGCCCTGGCCACACAGTCCTCTCAGTTCCAGGCTCCAGGGACTGCTCCCTCCCCTTACCTCTTAAGGCCCAGGTATTATAATGGCACCTCCCTGTCACTTCCCAGGATAGAGCCTTATCCACTCTGATTTCCTTGCCCCCAGCCAACACCATCGTAAGCTGTCTGTTTATTAAACTCCCCTCAAATTTGAATGTGCCATCTGGTTCCTGCCATGGCCCATAGTTGATACAGGCAGGGAGTGTCTGAAGCCAGAAATTCAGGAAACCAAACCCTCAACCATATATGTGTGACTGCATGTGTGTAGATGTGTGCTTGAAAATAAATCTGTCCCATTATTGGCTCTTAAGTGAGAACGGGTACTGGAAGTAGAGGGTGAGTTTATGTCTTTGCACGTGCGTATAATGTATAATATCCAAGCCAATTCTGTTTGTGCATTTGTTAATATTAAGAAACATTGATTGAGTGCTTGTTAAATGATAAGATCCTTAGCAAGTACAGTGGATAAAAGACTACAGCTTGTTTTTTTGTTTGTTTGTTTTTGTTTTGTTTTGTTTTGTTTTTTTTAGGATTTGTAGTTTTTTGACAGGGGAAAGGAGGAGTGTTTCCTTGGTAGGTTTTAACTATTGTAAAATGATGTAATTCATGCTGTATTAATAAGTTGAACATTCCTTATTTTGGCCTTTATTGGAGCCCAAAATAAGAAGTGATTAATGATGTCTCTTAAAGGTATTAAAGGAGAGAAAAAGAGTCCAAGGATTTACCAAAAAGACATTTCATATTCTATTAACCTGATTCTATAACCCTGTGAGCTGCAATTCAAAGGGTAACCAACAGACCAGTGCCAATAAATGATATTGGTCTGTGACCAGATAATTTGAGAACTTGATTGTAGATGTTTAAAATTTTGTCTTATTGATTAATATAATAATAACAATTGGGCTTTAATTTGCATACCTTCTTAATTTCCTTTTTCCAGTAATTTCTTTTTACTGTATCTTACCAAAATATCAGTCTGTGACAGACTGAAAGTAACGGTAATAATAATATAAAAACTAGTCCTTTATCACAGATAGTGTGAGAAGCACTATCTGAGAAGGCAGAAACGTGGTTTTTGGCTTTTATTTTTTAATCTTTGGAGTTTACACAGTGCTTAAAGTGGCAATTTTATACAGTAAGTTTCCCCACAAAGGCGAGAGGCAATTGAGCTTACAGCTTTTACCAGATGGAATCCCAATAAAAAATAAACAGAACACTCAAATTGGGTAATTTGAGAAGAGCTTAATAAAGGGACAATCTATAAAGTTGTAGGCAGGCTGTGGTAATCAACAAAGGGTATTGCAATATTTCAGAGCTAGTGATAGCAGGGTAACTTACTGCCTTTAGGACTGAAGGGCTAAGGGAGGAGGCAGTCACTAAAATGTGAAGAAAGATTTATGGGATGACAGCTGCCTGATGGTGGCCATGACCTTTGGTCAATGGATATGGAGCATAGCCATTCCACAGCAACCTCTAGGGAAAAACCTGGGGGAATAAATATTCTGACTTCACTCTTGTCCCTTCCCTGGATCTCTTGCTGGCTTTCCCCATTGGCTGAACCCAACTGGAAGCTAATTGGCAAGGGAATCCACTGATATTAGCAGAACAGGAAGGGACTTTAGTGTATATGAAGTGGCAAGCTTAGAAGGTCTATCTATCTACTTTGGTCTACGTGCAGTCTGAGAACATGTACAGTTCAGTATACTGTGAGCATTTCCAGAGCAGAGGATGTGTCTTATATGTCATAAGTGTGTCATCAATATTTGCAAAAGCAAGGGATAGAATGGGTGCTGGAGAGACAGTTTAGGAAGCCAAGAATCAAGGTGTAGATGTTTAAAAATTTGTATTATTGATTAACGTGATAATAAAAATTGGGATTTAATTTGTATATCTTGGCTAATCGCAAGTTCTTTAGACCACAGGCCTGGCCATACAAGATCAAGTCTTTCATGTGAAAGTGGAAATAGCAGAAGGTCCCTGTCATCCTGAGATTGCTCTCTTTTTTTTTTCCTTTTTTTTTTTTTTTTTTGGAGACAAAGTCTGTCTCTGTTGCCCAGGCTGGAGTGCAGTGGTGCAAGCACAGCTCACTGCAGCCTCTGCCTCCCAGGTTCAAGTGATTGTCCTGCCTCAGCCTCCTGAGTAGCTGGGATTACAGGTGCCCACCACCAAGCCCAGCTAATTTTGTATTTTTAGTAGAGACAGGGTTTCACCATGTTGGCCAGGCTGGTCTCGAACTCCTGGCCTCAAGTGATCCACCCGTCTCGGGTTCCCAGAGTGCTGGGGATTACAGGCGTGAGCCACTGTGCCCAGCCCTGAGATTGCTCCCTTACTCAGCAATTCTGGAGCCTTTTTTCCAGCGTAATTCAGATGTAGATTATGTCAGTTCATTCACAAGTCTGAGAAAAGGAAAAAATGTGCAGGTTTTGACCCAAAAGCTTGAGGAGAGAGATAGGAGTTACACAGTGGTCTGAGATTGAGGGACTGGGGACAAATCTAGGGAAGTCTTGAGGAGGTGGGAGTTCAGTCTGTTCAGAATGAGAAGAGATATCTAGGGAGAGAAGAAATTGTGAGAAATTTGTACAGATAAGGAAGGAACCAATGTTCATTTATAACTTGTTGAATCCATGATCTCATGGATTCTTTCTTCTTTGCAGTTCTGCTTTTCCAGAATCCTGCCCTTTCCAAAAGGAAGACAGTATGATTAAGTTCCAGGTAAGTTAAGGGTTTCTTTCTCTTTAAATATACTGTTCATTCTGAGGAACCAGCACTTCTGTTTTCTGAAAGGTGGTCAGCATTTTTTGAGTGACTACTATGTATTAGGTACTTCATCTTGCTCATCATGAGTTTGTGAGGCAGGTGGTTTGACTCCCTTTATAGAAGTGAAGAAACAAACTCACAGATTTCAAGATGTCTACTTTGGTGCTACTCTAAGTGTGGTTCGTGTACCAGTACCAGTCCATGAACTGCTTATCACTGCCCCATGAGGGAAAAAGAATCAAGACTAAGTTCAGAAGCTTTTATAGCAATTTGGTGTTGCCGCAGCATCTGAGTGCATGGGCAGCATATACATGACCATACTCTAAATGTCACTGGTCTCGTTCGATAAGTAACAAGATTTGAATGGGTATGTATTGGTCAGAATTCAACCAGCAAGGCAGAACCAGTAAGAGATATATATTAAGAGATTTATCATAAGGAATTGATTTATATGATTATGGGGGCTAACTAGGCAAGTCCAAAATCCACAGGGCAGTCCTCAGGAAGGGTGGGCCAGAACTCTTAGACACAGACTGAAGCCCCTGTCTATGGGTGGAATTTCTCCCCCTCCCAGGGAAGCCTCAGCTCTGCTCATAAGACCCTTCAGTTTTTTGAGTCAGACATACTCAGATTAGTTAGAATAATCTCCCTTAAAGTCAACTGATTATGGACTTTAATCACATCTACAAATTATCTTCATAGCAATACCTAGATTAGTGTTTTATTCAATAACTGAGGACCGTAGCTTAGCCAAGTTGCCACATTAAAAAGACCATCACAGTGTGGAGGAAGGATTTTCTTTTAATCATGAAAAAAATTAATTATGAAAATACACAAAAAGAACAAATGGTATTATGAGGCTCCATTTGCAGTACCCATCATGAAGTTTCAACGATTAACTTATTGCCAAAGGGATTTGCTTAATCTCTTTTTCAGTTTTTTCTTTCCCAGAGTATTTGAAAGAGGCATGGTATTTACACTGTATTGGTTTTTCTCTGAGCACATCGCTTTTGTATAGTACCTTATTATATATGCAGCTAAAATGAAAGAGCTCACACTTTATCCTTCTGCCTGGAAACCATCTTGCCCAAGTCCAAGATTCATTAGGTACATTTTCTATCTTCTAAATTACAGCAACAGTTTACCAAGTGTTCACCACTACATCACCCAGGTCACCATTTTTCCAGCCTCCTATAACAGTGTCCTCAATGGTTATGGCCTGGACCTAAAGCCAATGCCATGAGTATTTGGTAGCACTCTGCTGGTTTTGGTTAGCTTGGGTGTGTCCTCATAGTGAAGACAGAGTTACAAGAGAGCAAGTGAACGCGTGAGATCTGTCAAGGCCCAGGTTAGAAATGGCACATTCTCACTTCTGCTTCATTTTGGTAGCCAGAGCAAGTTACATTGCCAAGTCAAAACTAAAGGGGTAAGAAAACACACTCTGGTCCTTTAGTGGGATTGGTGAGCATGGAAGAGGATATTTCTAAACAGCAATCTAATTTACCACATTCTCTATGTATTTCAGTATATATTTCCTTAAAAACTGACTAATGAGATAATCAATAATTATTTGGTATTATCTAATACCCAGACAATAACCAAATTTCCCTGATTATCTCAAAAAATTTTTAACAGTTGGTTTGTTCAAATGGGATCTTACCAAAAGTCTATACTATCATATAGTTGGCTGTTGTGTCTCATAATCTCTTTTAATCTAGAGAAATCTGCCCCTCTACTTTATTCTCTCCTGCTATTGACTTGTTGTAGAAACCAAGTTTGGTATCCTGTGTTCTTTCCTACATTTGGAATGCATTTGCTTGCTTCCTTTTGGTGTCTTTCAATGTGTTACTCTATCCACAGTATTTCTTGTAAGTGGAAGCACCAGATGCTTGAATAGATTCAGGTTCAAGGTTTTACAAGAATACTTCATAGATGGTTATACAAGAATACTTCAGAAAGGAAAATATTTATAGATTTTTGCAAGTGTTTATTCGTTGAAAAATTTGGTTTCTTAATATTTTGGGGCTGTCCTTGTATCTGCATCCTATGACAATCGCTGCCTAGGATTCCTACAAGGCATCCATCCAGCTACAAGGGTGGTGGAGAAATGAGTGTTTTGTTTTCCCAGGCTCTATAGTTGAGGCAGAGAAGGGAGAATGGGGTGTAGGCTGGGTGAACCTCTATTCCTAACCCCTTCTTCCTACGTTGGAACACCCCAAGCAGACTTCAGGGTATCTGTATTTCCTGAATGATTAACTCCAATTCAATTTTGTTGCCTCCCACAGAAGAAGGCATACAGTAGTGTTACAGAGAGAGTGATGCTATTAGGACAACCGTGCTGACTCCCCTAGATTTTGTTTTTAATCATTGTCAGATTTTGGTAATTGGACAATTGTTAGGAACATATTCTTTGTGAAGTTGTTTGTAACTGCTTACAACTTTCATTTGAAAGTTCTGCATTATTTAGAGATGCAGAGTCTATTGAGAGAACATATCTGTAAATACTTAACTCTGAGCAGTGTGATATATGCAGCAATAGAAATATTTTACATAAAAATTGTTTTCTTGATTAGGAGATGGTTATTAATATCAGATTATTCCCCACATCCTTTTATTTTGAGAAATTTCAATTTATCAGGAAAATGAAAGAATAGCATAATGTGTAATCTTCACCTAGATTCACCAATTGTTAACAATCACCCATAAACATATGCATAATATACATATATACACACACATATCTATATTTTATTTTGATGACCCAGTTGGGGATAAATTGCAGGCATGATTATAATTCATTCCTAAATATTTCAGCTTGTATCTCCTAAGAGTAAGAGCATTTTCCTACATTTCCACATTACTGCTAACATACTCGAGAAATTTCACATTGATACCACTATTTTTTAATACCTAGTTGATATCCAAGTGTTCTTAATTATGCTAATAATCTCCCTTTTCTCTATTGTGTTTTTTGAATCTAGGAGCCAGGCTTTTAGTTACCCTGTCTTCTTAGTTCCTTTTAACATGATAAAAATAGATTAATCTGCCATGAAAAAGTGAAAATACCAAATCTTGGTGTGTGATGAGAAATGAACTCATGGAACAGTACTAGACTTGTGTATCAGCACAACACCTTAGTATAGATTTATCTGTGCCTATTTCCTGGGCCATATTTTATAATTTGATTCATATTGTCCTTTGGGAATCCCTGATCCAATAGGATTAATGTCCTTATGAGACAGCCTCAACAGAGCTTGCTCTCATTCTCCCTCTGCCATGTAAGGACACAGTGAGAGGACAGCTGTCTGCAAGCCAAGAGAAGAAACCTGAATGAAACCTATCTTGGTGGTACTTGATCTTAGACTTTCCAACCTCCAGAACAGTAAGAAGTTAGTTTATTTTGTTTAACCTAATCAGACTGTGGTATTTTATTAAGGCAGCCCAAACAGACTAAGACCAGTCATTTGTGTGGATGATTGACGTGGCATGTGGTTGATGTTTTAGGAAAGGGCGACATTCAAGGACATAGCTGTTATCTTCACCAAGGAAGAGCTGGCAGTATTGGATAAATCCCAGATAAACCTGTACCAAGATGTGATGCTGGAAAACTTCAGGAACCTCATCTCAGTGGGTGAGTAACTGAGCATCAGACCACTGGACCTGTGTCCTGAAATCATCATTTCAAACCACATAGAAAACTCCAGTTAGATCACAAAGAGAAACTTTGACCACTGGAAAGAAAACACCTAAGAGATGCATGTGCAGGTTAGAACCCTGCAGTTAATGAGCTTTTACAGATCAATGTGAGGATCTGGCCCCTTGTGATGGGTTTGTGAGGGAGCTCTCCCCAAATCTCATACCCCTGGCCTGTGGGCATTCAATGCAGGTAGTAATCCCTCCCTCCCCTAATCACACATTTAGGCTCTCATTCTTTCCTCATATTTCTCAGAATGAGACATAAAATTCACACATCACCAAGAGCCTTGATCTATTGGATGCTTCTGGAGAAAAATCAATGTTTATCCAATGTTTTGGATAAACCAGTGTTAAAGGAACAAAGGGAGAACTTTGATTTGGTTGGCAGTTACAATAGCCAACACTTACTGGTATGTAGTAAGTGTAATCTAAGTGTTGGCTTATTTGATTACTTTTTGATAAATATCTAACCTCATTTTCATTTCTCAGAGGTTCATATACAGTTATGTGCTACCTAAGTTTAGTTTATGAGATAGAGATATGGTTTGGCTATATCCCTACCCAAGTCTCATCTTGAATTGTAGCTCCCATAATTCCCATATGTTGTAGGTGGGGCCTGGTAGGAGGTAACTGAATCATGGGGCAGGGGTCTTTCTCATGCTGTTCTTATGAGAGTGACAAGTCTCATGAGATTTGATGGTTTTATAAATTGGTGTTCTCCTGCACAGGCTTTCTCTTTGCCTGCCACCATGTAGGATGTACCTTTGTTCTTCCTTCACCTTCTGCCATGATTTTGAGGCCTCCACAGCCATATGGAAATATGAGTCAATTAAACCTCTTTCCTTTATAAATTACCCAGTCTTGGGTATGTCTTTATTAGAAACATGAGAATGGACTAATACAGATAGTTACTGTTATTATCCCCCTTTTATGGACATATTACTCTGTTTTCACACTGCTGATAAAGACATACCTGAGACTGGGCAATTTACAAAAGATAGAGATGTATTGGACTTACAGTTCCACATTCCTGGGGAGGCCTCACAGTCATGGTGGAAAGTGAAAGGCACGTCTTACATGGTGGCAGACAAGAGAAGAGAGCTTATGCAGGAAACCACCCCCCCTTTTTTTTTTTAAGAGTCTGGCTCTGTAGCCAGGCTAAAGTACAGTGGTGCTATCTTGGCTCACTGCAACCTCCAACTACCAAGTTCAGGCAATTCTCCTGCCTTAGCCAACCCAGTATCTGGGACTACAGGCATGCACCACCATGCCCAGCTAATTTTTGTATTTTTTAGTAGAGACGGGGTTTCACTATGTTGGCCAGGATTGTCTCAATCTCTTGACCTCATGATCAACCCACTTTGGCCTCCCAAAGTGCTGGGATTACAGGTGTGAGCCACTGCGCCCATTCAGGATCTCCCTTTTAAAAACCATCAGATCTCATGAGACTCATTCACTATCATGAGAACAACACAGGAAAGACCCGCCCCCATAATTCAATCGCCTCCTACCAGGTTCCTCCCATGACACATGGGAATTGTGGGAGTTACAATTCAAGATGAGATTTGGGTGGGTACACAGCCAAACCATATTATCCCACCCCGGCCCCTCCCAAATCTTATGTCCTTACGTTTCAAAACCAATCATGCCTCCCAACAGTCCCACAAAGTCTTAACTCATTTCAGCATTAACTCAAAAGTCCACAGTCCAGTGTCTCATCTGAGACAAGCCAAGTCTCTTCCATCTATGAGCCTGTAAAATAAAAAAAAACAATTTATTTACTTCCTAGATACAGGGCAGGTACAGGCATTGTGTAAATGCTGCTGTTCCAAATGGGAGAAATTGGCCAAAACAAAGGGGCTACAGGCCCCATGCAAGTCTGAAATCCAACGGGACAGTCAAATCTTAAAGCTCGAAAGTGATCTCCTTTGACTCCATGTCTTGCATCCTGGTCACGCTGATGTAAGAGATGGGTTTCCATGGTCTTGGGCAGCTCCACCCCTGTGGCTCTGCAGAGTATAGTCTCCCTTCTGGCTGCTTTTGTGAGCTGGTGTCGAGTGTTTGTGGCTTTTCCAGGCACACGGTGCAAGCTGTCGGATCTAGCATTCTGCTGTCTGAAGGACAGTGGCCCTCTTCTCACAGCTCCACTAGGTAGTGCCCTGCTAGGGACTCTGTGTGGGGGCTGTGACATGTGGGAATTATGGGACATGACACTTGGGAATTATGGGAGTTACAATTCAAGAAGAGATTTGGGTGAGGACACAGCCAAACCATACCAATGGATGAAACAACTGAGTCACAGAATTAATAACTTGCCCATGATCACACAGCTTATAAGAAGAACTAGGATTTGAGCCCTCCTAATCTGGCCCTAGGTCCTGTGTTTTTAATAAATAACCTGGTGAAACCAACGTGTAATCTGTAGACACAGGACCTTCTACATAAATCTGCATATCCCTGCAGTTGTTTCTCAAACTGCAGGATAAAACCCTCTTGATGAGTCCTGAAATCAAATTACTGTGTCATAACTAGCAATTTTTAAAAAGCAAAATAGATTAATAGAGCAGAAAACAGAAGAATTTATCAAAATGCATTGCACATCATATGTAAGTATCAGCTGATAAAACTTCTGTTTTAGTGAGCAGTCGGTGTTGATGTCTGTGCCTATTCCTACTGAGTCACAATGCTGATTTTATTGTGGGTTACAATCAAAACAATTGGGAAACCACTGCTTAGAACCCATTTGGGGCAGCTCATGGTCTCCCTTTCCCTGATACTATCTTATAAACTAAAGTCACTTTCAATAAAACAACCCAGAAAGGACCTTGAACCAGAAGCGGTATCCAGTGGGACTTGACCATGATATTCATGCCATTTTGAAACCCATCTTAGGGTCCCAAAAATATGATCATCCTCTTCTGCCTCAGCCCCCTGTTTGTTATATACCACAGTCTTGCTTCCCTGGGTGCCAGGCCATTGACAGTGCCACAGTATCTGTTCCCCATTCTCAAAGTCATGGCTCTTTGAGATTCTGCAATAACTTAAAAGGTCAGAACTTAAAGAAATGGATTATAGTATCTGAGTGGTCTCTATCTTTTCATGAAGATAAAGAACCTCGGGGAAAATAAAAAGGATGTCTCTTAAAGCTTGTCTCAGAGGTTTACATATGCATCCCCGCACAACGCCAGGACCACATTTCACAATGTTTATCCCTATTTCAATCCCCATTGCCGTTTTATCCCCATCCCCTTAAGGCTCACCATGTACAGTTGTGCAGGTTGTACACAAACATACATGATAGTCCTCCATATGACAGTGATGTGAAGGAAGGGAAGCCATCAGGAGATAGGACTTACTTGTTTCTGAAACCTCTTGTGACCCTTTGTGTCCCTTACTCTGCCCAACATATAAAAAACACTCCATCAATATGTATTATTTCTATACACACATATACTACATAAAATGGGAGCCTTTCCCATACCTTTTGTAGCAAGATTATTAAAGTCTTTTTATTGACCACTCTTATAGTGGGGAGGTGAATTTCTTCCTTCATAAATTTTTCCTAAGATTTCCTTTTATTCTTTTTTGCTGTGTGGGGGTGGAAATGTCTTGCTCTGTCACCCAGGCTGGAATGCAGTGGCACAATCTTGGATCACTGCAGCCTCTGCATCCCAGGATTAAGCAATCTTCCAACTTCAGATTTCCAAGTAGCTGAAATCATAGGCAAAACAGAACCAATTTTCAATTTTTTTGTAGAGATGCGATCTCACCATACTGCCCAGCCTGGTCTTGATCTCCTGAGCTTGAGTGATCCTCCCACCTCAGCCTCTGAAAGTGTTGCTATGACAGCCATAAGCCACTGCACCTGGCCAAGATTTCTCTTAATTTCCCTACAATACTTGATTTCTAATTGGCAGCTCACAGGTTAGAATTACTGTGGCTCTGTTTCCCATGCCAATAGAAGCCAGGGACAACTTCCCACCCCATCATATTTCATTTTCTCAAAACCTCTGGACAGGTGATTCACAAATTCTCTTTCTTCTCATGGGAGACGGGATTAAAAACAACATTTTGAATCTTCAGGGAACGGGGTTAAGTTACCTTTCTCAAGAAGTGCTTCATTGCTGGCAGATTTGGAAACAAAGGATCCGGGATTTAAGTGTGAGTCAGGATTATATCATGAACCTTCAAGAACAGTGTTCCCCACATTTAGAAGATGTTTCCCTCTGTGAAGAGTGGGCAGGCGTGTCTCTTCAGATTTCTGAAAATGAAAACTATGTAGTAAATGCCATTATCAAAAATCAAGATATCACAGCATGGCAAAGCCTGACACAGGTTCTTACTCCAGAATCTTGGAGGAAAGCCAACATAATGACCGAGCCCCAGAAATCTCAGGAAAGATATAAGGGAATTTACGTGGAAGAGAAATTGTACAGACGTGCTCGGCATGATGAGAGCCTCAATTGGACCTCATGTGATCATCATGAGTCCCAAGAATGTAAAGGAGAGGACCCTGGTAGACACCCCAACTGTGGGAAAAACTTGGGTATGAAATCAACAGTTGAACAACATCATGTGGTCCATGTTTTACCACAGCCTTTCACATGTAATAACTGTGGGGTGGCCTTTGCAGATGATACAGATCCTCGTGCCCATCACAGCACTCACCTAGGAGAAAAATCTTATAAATGTGACCAGTATGGAAAGAACTTAAGTCAGAGCCAATATCTTATCATTCATTGTAAAACCCACTCAAGAGAGACTCCCTATGAATTCCACGAATGGCCTACAGGCTGCAAACAGAGCTCAGACCTTCCCAGATGTCAGAAAGTCCCCTCAGGAGACAATCCTACAAATGTAAAGAATGTGGCAAGGGCTTCAGGTGCAACTCCTCCCTTCACAACCATCATCGAGTCCACACAGGGGAGATGCCCTACAAATGCCACGTATGTGGGAAAGCGTTTGGATTTCGGTCACTTCTTTCTATTCATCAGGGAGTACACACAGTGAAAAAGCCCTACAAATGTGAAGAGTGTGGGAAGCGCTTTGAACAGAGCTCCAACCTTCTTATCCATCAGAGAGTCCACACTGGAGGGAAGCCCTACAAATCCAGTGAGTGTGGCAAGTGCTTTAGTTCAAGCTCCGTTCTTCAAGTCCACTGGAGGTTTCACACAGGGGAGAAACCTTATAGGTGTGGTGAGTGTGGAAAGGGCTTCAGCCAAAGTACACACCTTCACATTCACCAGAGAGTCCACACAGGGGAGAAACAATACAAATGCAATGTGTGTGGAAAGGATTTTGGGTATAGTTCTGTTCTTCACACTCATCAGAGAGTTCACACTGCAGAAAAACCATATAAATGCGAAGTGTGTGGAAAGTGCTTTAGTTACAGTTCATATTTGCACTTCCATCAAAGCGATCACACAAGAGAGAAACCATATAAATGTGATGAGTGTGGTAAAGGCTTCAGTTGGAATTCAGATCTTCATGTTCATCTCAGAGTCCACAGAGGACAGAGGCCCTATAAGTGTAAGGCATGTGGTAAGGGCTTCAGTCGTAATTCGCACCTCCTTGTCCAACAGAGAGTGCGTATAGATGAGACACAGTACACACATTGTGAGCATGGCAAAGACCTTCTGACTCATCAAAGACTACATGAGCAGAGAGAAACATTATAAACGTAGTAAGTCAGGGTTAAATTAGGAAAACAAGCCACACTGTATTCCAGATAACAGAGGCTTACTCAGCCTGTGGGAGGGCTGGGGGAGCAAAAGACAGGGACACTGCCATCAATAATGTCAGCCTGCAGCACTGGAGTGTGCCAGGCAAGGGTTGTGGATTTCAAGAACTTCTGTGAAGCTCCCATCAACTGCTGTATGCTACAATGGCAAAGTAGGTTACTCTTGACAAATGGGTGGTTTGTGGTAGTGTTTGTAGTTAGAGGTCAAATTTCCATTAAAGGGTGTGTCCAGGAAGGAAATTCTAATTGGGATGATTATGGTAAGGTCTTCAGTTTAGCCAAAGTCCTGAGATTTTTTTTAGTCCCCAACAGAAAAATACTCTCTGTATGAAGAACATTCAAAATTGTGCTCAGAAATGAAACTGATGCTCTTACCATGAAAGAACATTAGTACTCAGGTTTTCCATGAGATTCTCTGCACAGGCGAGAAGCTCTACAGAAGTGGCATTTGAAGAGTGTGGTAGAGGCAGTGCTGTGTTTATCACACTGGTTCCATTTCCTTGCAAATAGGAAGACTCTATTTCCCAGTAACACTTGCAGTTAAGAGTGTGCCCATGTTTGAGCTCTAGCCAATGGCGTGTGAGCAAAAGTGATATAAGCCACTTTCAGGTCTAGCCTTTATAAACATCTTCAGGCTTCTCTATTCCTGCCAAGGTGACCTTTGAGGCTGCTTATTCCAGACTGCATTGATAGAAGGTCGCTATCTGATCTGTTTTGGATTTCTTTTTAGAGTAAGAAATAAAAATTCACTGTGTCTCACCACTGAGATTTTTGGTGGTTTATTTGTTACTGCAGCATTGCCTAGGCCATCCTGACTAGCATGGAGGGATTTTATAGCAATATGTTTCATTGTCAGTGGAGTCCACATACAGAAGAAACATTGTAATTCAGAGTTCAAAGCTTTTAAGTCTTTAAGGCTAGATGTGGCAGTGCAACCATCTAAAATGGTATGGATGGGACTTCTCCAGTGATAACCTTCATTCATTGGTGTGTACACCAAAGAGAAATGTTCAAGATGATATAGCTGTGGTAAAACTTTACTGAAAAGTACAACCCACAGACGTAAGAAATCTCATACAATAGAGAAACTCTGTAGTGTGGGAGCTGAATAAGTTTGATAGCTCACACCTTAAATGTGATTAAAAATTGACTAGAATAGGTGTTCTGTGGTTAGTCTTAATAAAATTAATTGAATAAAACTAACATTTACTAAAGTGAGCAACAACATGTAAAAAACCAACAGTGTTCATTGCAGACTGATGCAGTCTTCTTCTCAGCAGACTTGTATAATAATGGGTTTTTAAAGGGTGCTCTTTCTGTCAGCTTCCTACCAAAATTGTCATTTAATTGGGGATAATAGATGAATTCGAGAGGAGATCTCATTGCTTTTTTTTTTTTTTTTTTTTTTTTGGAAACAGGGTCTTGCTCTGTCATCCAGGTGGCTGGAGTGCAGTGGCCTGATCATGGCTTGCTGCTGAAGCCTTGAACTGCTGGGCTCAAGTGATCCTCCTGCCTCAGCCTCCTGAGTAGCTGGGACTACAGGCATATACCACCATGTTCAGCTAATGTTTTCTTTTAAAAATTTACTTGTAGAGATGGGGTCTTGCTTTGTTGCCCAGGTTAGTCTCATTCTGGTTTCAAGCGATCCTCCTACCTCAGCTTCCCAAAGTGCAGGGATTACAAGTGTGGGCCACTGCACTCAGCCCACAATGTCTTTTATTTTTTCTTCAAAAACAATGTCCTTTTCTGTTTTAATTGACTTATAAGTTTCTTCATTTGGATCATGGTTTATTCCTAGTTTTTCTTGCATTATATTTTCCTGCCAGTTATAGTTTGTAAACAGAACAGCCATTCAAGTGCAAATAAAACCATCCCTGAAGTGTCATTTTCTTACTGAGCAGGTGGATAAGAGTGAAATATTTTAAAAATTCTGTGTCAGTAGAAATGAGGAAATGAGTGTTCTTACATAAGTTGGTGGGGGAAAAAAACAGGTACCAAGTTGCTGGAGAGGATCTTGTCTATATGTATCAGATGTACAATGTGCATTGTCTTTGAGCCAATGATCCTGCTTCTCAGAATGTATTTTTAGGATGTAATTACATGAGTGGAAAAAGATGGTTTCAGAAAGAAATATGTTCTAAGAATTTTGCAATAAGAAGACCATAAATGACCTGAAGCTTCATGTATAAGAGATTAAGTAAATTAGGGCATCCCATATAATGGAATAACATGGCTCCATCAACAATGATCTAGACCTATAAAAATGTCCACATATTATTGTCCATGTCCACCACATACTCCAGTCCTCCTACTTGCAAACAGTAGGTTAGAGAAAAGATCTGGGATACACATTATCCCAGGAAGCTTTTGGGGTTTAGAATGGGTGCAACATTCCCTCATGACAGAATTGGCCCTCAGCCTTGGTCGAGGTGTCCCAGGCAATCCTCCAGTTTGGCCAGGAGCAGCACTTGCATATCACATTAAGCTTTTTAAATATATGATGCTAACAGGATTGTCTCCCTACTTCATAAAATTGTTTGCTTTTCCTCTTGTAACAAAGTAGCATGGAAAAAGCAGAAATTAGTCTAGCTCCCAATCAGTGGGAGCCAACTCATTTACAAATATAGATGCAGAGATCCTAAATAAATATGAGCATGTCAAATCCAATGATTTGATAAAAGCATAACAGACTCTGCTCATGTATAATTTATCCTAAATATGCTTATCAGCTTCTGCCTCATAACACACACAAGAACTGAGTAGCTCTACATACAAATTTATTTAGCTCATGATGTGTGAGCTGGCAAGTTCAGTTCGGCTTAGCTGGGCAGTTCTGGTGTGGGACATGCTAGATTATCTTAACTGGGCTTTGTACATGCATCTGCATTCAGCTGATGGCTCATCTGGGCCTGGCTATTTTATGATGGTCATAGATGAGACAACGAAGTTCTCTCTGTCATCATGGTCTCTCATCATCCAGAAGACCAATCTAGGGTTGGTCCCATAGTGCCAGGGTTTCAAGAGCAAAAGCTGTGATCTCTTAAGGCCTCATCAGAGAACAGGCTCAATGATACTTCCACCACATTCTAATGATTAAAGCAAGTCACAACACTGGCCCAGATTCTTGCGGTGGGATTAAGACAAGATAAAAAATGTTGAGACGTAATCATTGGAAGGAAAAAGAAGGTACTATTTTTATGTTAGAGAATAATGTTATTTACTTATAAAATTCAAATCTGCCTGTAAAATTTGACCAATTGAAGTATGTTTTAAAATTATCAGTTCAAAAAATTGGTTTCATACAAAATTGGCACATGAAAATTCATAGCATTACTATTTAAGAGTCTTTTATAAAATGTAGCCAAAATGTTTCATTCACAATAACAATTGTGTGCAAAGACCAGAATTCTCCAAAGGTAATTCTGGGAGTTCCCTTTGGGATGCCTAGGTGAGTAGCTATCTGGAGCCTCAGACTCCCACATTCTTCAGTGGGAAAAGCTTTACATGAGCTCAACTTCCTAGCGGCTTTCTCTTTCTGATGGGAGGTGTTAGAACCTGGCTTTCTCATGCAACTTCTGTGAAGCTCTGACAACTAAAGCCAGATTGTCTGCTTTAGTCAATCTGTTAGATCAATTAGTCATTTGATCTGACAACTAAAGCCAGATTGTCTGCTTTAGTTAAGTAGTCCAGATTACCTGCATAGTCAATTTGTTCCCTCACCAACATGGATGCCTTCACAATTGCTCTTTAAGAAGGATAAAAAGATAGGGGTGAGGTGTGGTCTATCTCCTGCTTCACTCAGGCCCTGGTGCTTCCTCAAGTGGTGTGAGAAACTGTGGTCCTGTGCGTTCTCTTCCAGACCCTTAGCTTATATATTTTCCCTATAAAACTTAGTCCTAATCCCAGCATTTTGGGAGGCCGAGGAGGGTAAATCATGAGATCAGGAGTTTGAGACCAGCCTGGCCAACATAGTGAAACTCCGTCTCTAAAAAATTAGCTGGGCATAGTGGCAGGCACCTGTAATCCCAGCTACTCAGGAGGCTGAGGCTTGAGCCCAGGAGGTGGAGGTTGCAATGAGCCGAGATCACACCACAGCACTCCAGCCCAGGCGGCAGTGAGAGACTGTCTCAAAAAAAAAAAAAAAAAAAAAAAAAAAAGAAGTCCCTTATGTGTGATGATAAAATTTGATGAAGAGCAACATTGGTGGACTTACACTACCAGAGATCAACATTTATTATAAATGTTCTATAATTAATACAGTGTAGTATTAGCTCAGGAGAGAAAAAATAGATCAATGGAAAAGAATAGGGAGTCTAAAAACAGATCCACATGTATACAGTGAGTCAGTTTATCAGCCTTGAAATACGTTGGAGAAATAATAGTCATTTAATAACTGATGCTGGGTTCACTGGCTACTTAACACTAGTTCTTCATACAATTGCAGGCAATAAATACAAATAGCATGCAGCTGGCAGACTGGGATCAGTGGCTATGCCTCCACTAGACTGCCCATAGAAGCACATAGTAACAGCTACCAAAGGTGTCTGATCTGTCTTGTCTTTTTTTAAACTCATTTTGTTCAGGTATAATTTACATAAAATGCAGACTTTAACTACATTTGTTTTAACAAATGTACATATCCTTGTAAATAATGCCCATTCAACATGTTAAACATTTTATTTACCCCAAAAATTTCCCTTGTGCCCCTTTCCCTTCATTTCTTTCCAAAAAAGGATATAATCACTGTTTTGTTTCTATCACCATATGTTGGTTTGCCTATTCTTGAACTTTATATAAATGAAATCATACTGTAAGATACTCTTGTATTTGGCTTTTTTTCATTCAACATGGTTTTCTAAATTAGTAATTTATAATAAAGAGTACTGCATATTTTATTATTGTTTATAAATTGTGTTCTAAAAACATTCTATGTTAGTAAAATTTATAGTAAACTTCTATAATGTACATACTTTTCTTTCTGGAGAGCCATTTATTAAACATTTATTAGCATACCACTCACAGAGGAGATGTAAGCCCAGAATTGGCCTTTTTCTTCTGAAGTCAACTAGCTTTGAATTAGAATGTAACATTAGTTATTATTCCTCATTCCCCACTCATTCTCTGTATCTACTTCCCTTATTTTTTTCTTTTATTTTTCTGCAGACACTATGGTTACTTAAGTGTCTACTTCTCTTTTTCTGCATGTCTTTGAGTGGAGACACTGGTCACCTTTGTTTCCCACTGTCTTTTCAAAGGTGTATGTTAGGGAACAAAAATATAGTGTCTCCCTCTGGAGCAGTAGATTTGTTTATGGCCCACTCTAGTGAAGACAGTGTCTCCCTCTAGGGTGAAGGGCAGTGGTTTTATTCCCACAGGCTATCATAAAAGATTCAGGTTTCCTAAGCTTAGGGTTCTATCCCTACAACACAGCCCGCTAGGCCTGTGGCACCTGGCCTTCCATGTCACTCTGTGGGATTAGAATGCCAAAAACCATTGCAAAGAATGACACTCTGGCTACTGCTGTGGTTGTGGCTAATAAAGTCCTTTGTCTCAGAGCCAGGAGTCTTTTGTCTTGTGCCAGCATCTGTGAGACTGTCAGGCTAACTTGTGAGCTCATAAATTGGTTACTTTCAGATCCTTGGTTTTTGATGGAAATAAATGTCTCTTAATCTTAGAGGCAAACTAGAGCTACCTGGAATGCTTTCAGCTTTTTACAATTTTTTACTGGTGAAATATACATAACATGAAATTTACCATCTCAACCATTTTTAAGTGTATAGCTTAGTAGTGTTAAGTACATTTACATTGTTGTAAAACCAGTCTCCAAAACTCATTTTATCTTGCAAAACTAAAACTCTATCCCATTCAACAGCAACCCTCAATTTTCCCCTGCTCCCAGCCACTGGCAACCACTATACTTTGTGTCTCTATGCATTTGACTTCCCTGGGTCACATAAATGGAATCATACAGTATTTGACTTTTTTTTTTTTTTTTTTTTTTGAGACGGAGTCTCCCTCTGTTGCCCAGGCTGGAGTGCAGTGGTTCCATTTTGGCTCACTGCAAGTTCCGCCTCCAGGGTTCACGCACGCCATCTTCCTGCCTCAGCCTCCTGAGTATCTGGGACTACAGGCACATTCCGCCATGCCCGGCTAATTTTTTCCATTTTTCGTAGAGACGGGGTTTCCCCATGTTAGCCAGGATGGTCTCGATCTCCTGACCTTGTGATCCGCCCACCTCGGCCCCCTAAAGTGCTGGGATTACAGGCATGAGCCACCATGCCCGGTCCAGTATTTGCCTTTTTGTGACTGGCTTATTTAACTTAACATAATGTCCTTAAAGCTTATTTGTGTTGTAGAATGTGTCAGAATTTTCTTCCTTTGTACACTTGGGTTTCTTCCACTTTTCGGCTACTGTGAATAATGCTGTTATGAACATAGGAGTACAAATATCTCTTCAAGACCTTGCTTTCAATTCTTTTGGACACATACCCAGAAGTGGAATTGCTGGATCATATGATAATTGTATTTTCAATTTTTTCAGGATCTGCCATTCTGTTTTCTATAGAAGCTGCCACCATTTAACATAATGTTTTTAAGTTCATTTATATTATTATGCTTGTCAGTCTTCTTTTTGTGTTCAGAGTAATCAGGAAATTACCATAGTTTGCCCATTCTCACGTTGGTGAACATTTGTTTCCAGGTTTTGGAAATTTTGAATAAAGCTACTAAGAATATTCTTGTATTAGCGTTTTTGCAGACATATGCTTTGATTTCTCTTGGGTAAATACGTAGGAGTTGAATTGCTGTCATAAGCTAAGTGTATGTTATCTTTATGAAGAATTGGCTGTCCTTGTCTATTAACATAAAGAATGAGGTACTTTATTGTTCACTTAAAATCTTTATGTGGTTGGGCTGTGTGGGGTGGCACATACCAGTAACATACCTGTAGTCTCTGCTACTGGGGAGGCAGAAGGATCACTTGAGGGCAGGAGTTTGAGGCTATTGGGTGCTACAATCGTGCCTGTGAATAGCCACTGCACTCTAGCCTGGGCAACTTAGCTAAAAAAATTTATGTGGTTAAAATTTCAATGTGTTTATGAAATTTTTGTATAATGATTTTTTAAAAGAAAACTTTCCCATACTCCCAGGCACTAATTATTTTCAAAACATGAAGAATATGTTTTAAGTGGTGTCAGGCACAAATCTAATTTTAATTTTTTCTAATTGGATAGTCAAGGCTTTCAACATTTATTGATGAGTCCCTTTTTTATTTACTGATCTTAAAGGTCACATTTATACTACACTAGGTATATCCATTCCTGGAGTCTCCTATCTTTTATGTTTATCACTGAAATCTCTGACCTTTTTTTTTTTTTTGAGATAGAGTCTTGCTCTGTCACCAGGCTGGAATGCAGTGGCACGATCTTGGTTCATTGCAACTTCTGCTTCCTGGGTTCAAGTGATTCTCCTGCCTCAGCCTCCTGAGTAGCTGGCATTACAGGAGCCCGCCACCATGCCCAGCTAATTTTTGTATTTTTAGTAGAGAGGAGGTTTCAGCATGTTGGTCAAGATGGTCTCCTGATCTCATGATCCACCCACCTCAGCCTCCCAAAGTGTTGGGATTACAGGTATGAGCCACCATACCCAGCCCATTTTTGTTTATTCTCAAACCACTATCTCACATCTTTAAGAATG
Source organism: Homo sapiens (assembly GCF_000001405.40). Lineage (NCBI taxonomy): Eukaryota > Metazoa > Chordata > Mammalia > Primates > Hominidae > Homo > Homo sapiens. The sequence goes on from NC_000020.11 coordinate 30,559,228, forward strand.
ATACTTTTGGTAGAAGGCAAGTAACAGTGAATATGCTAAGTGTATGTTTAACTTTACCATTTCTAAAAATGACTATACCACTTTATACTTCCATTAGCAGTCAATGCAAGATCACTTGTTCTACATGCTAACCAACACTTGGGATTTTTAGTCATTGGGATTATTTGTAGTGTTATCTCACTGTGGTTTAATTAGCATTTCCCTGATAAGTAATGATGTGGTTATCAGTCATTTTATCATGTGCTGATTGGTCATTTTATATCTTCTTTGGAAAAGAACTTTTGAAAGTTTTGCTTGTTTTTTGTTGGTTTGTTTCCTTACTGTTGAGTTGTAAGATTTCTTAATATAGCCTAGATACGAATCCTTTCTCAGATAAATACATTATGAATATTTTTTCCTAGTCTTGGCTTGCCTCTTCATTTTGTTAATGTTTTTAAGAGAGTAAGTTAATTTGATGAAGTTCTGGTTTATCTTTTTAAATTAGATTTTGTGCTCTTTTTTGCCTACCTATGAAATCTTTTTTTGCCTATCCCAAGGTTTTGAAAATGTTCTCCTATATTTTCTTGTATAACATTTGTAGTTTTAGCTTTTCATTTAGGTCTGTTACCTATTTTGAGTTCTTTTTGTGTATGATGTGAGGTAAGTGTTGAGGTTCATAATTTTCGAATAGGTGTCCAGTTGTTCTAGTGCTATTTTTTGAAACAACTTTCCCCCATTGAATTACCTTTGTGGCTGCACTGAAAATAAACTGATCATATATACTTGGCTGTATTTTCTGGAATCACTTCTGTTCCACTGATTTATATAGATATTGTTAAGCTTTTGCTATGTCTTGACTACAGGAGCTTTAGAACAAGTTTTGAAATCTGATACTGTTATTCCTCTAATGATGTTCTTCCTTTTCAAAACAATCTTGACTATTCTAGTTTTTTTAGTTGGCTGTTTTTTGCATTTCAATGTAAATCTAAATATTAGTTTCTGCAAAAAGCCTGCTCTAAATTTGATTGATACTGTGTTGACTTTATAGATCAATTTGGAATTCTGGTTCTGGGTAAGATGGAGTAAGCCAGTGGCTGGGAAATTCTGGCCTAATGGTTAAATATGGTGTATTGACTGTTTTTGTATGCCCCCATGAAGTAATAATGGCTTTTACATTTTTTATTGAGACAGGGTCTCACTCCATCACCCAGGCTGGCTCACTGAAGCATCAACCTCCTGGGATCAAAAAATCCTCTTACCTTAACTTCCTGAGTAGTTGGGACTATAAGCATGCACCGCCATGTCCAGCTAATTTTTTGCATTTTTGTAGAGATGGGGTTTTACCATGTTGCTCAGGCTGGTCTCAAACTCCTGAGCTCAAGCATTCTGCCCTCGGCCTGCCAAAGTGCTGGGATTACAGGTGTGAGCTACCATACCCAGCCTACATTTTTAAATAGTCAAAAAAATCAAAAGAAGAATATTTTATGACATATGATAAGTATGTAAAATTCAAATTTCAGCATTCATAAATTTTGGTTGAAACACAGTCATGCTTATTTGTTTACATATTGTCTATGGCTGTTTTCCTGTTATATTGGTACAGTTGTGTACTTATGATAGAGACCATATACAATGCTCTCATCACTTCATACTGCTACTCAGTGTATCATAAATCACAGTAACACAGTTATTACAAGTTAACAGATTTTTGAGTGCCATATGTATCACTCTCTATGATATTTTATTTATTTTGCATATTCGTCATGTCAAAACAAGAAGAGAAAATCAAATTTTGAATGTCGTGCTTTTAAGGTATAGTAAAGTGTGGATTATTTTGTTAGAGAATCTGACGGCTGACTATTGTGTTTGTTATGCAGTGACAGCTGTACAAGAAGAAAAATTATAACATTAATACTGCCAGATTAAAAACTTATCCCAATATTTCCAAATCACAGATAATTATTGCCAAAAATAAAAAAATTAAAATGGAATATTTTATCAAAGCAGAATTACTTTTATGAAATAACAAATGAAAATGAGGCTATAACCAAAGTAAGTTTTAGAGTGGCTAATCTGTTAGTCAAGCAAGAAAAGTTATTTACTGATGATGAGTTGGTCGAATCGTATTTTGCAGCAGCTGAAGAAATGTATCATATAAATTTGTCTAAGACTATAAGCCTTTTGACAAGGACAGTTTCTTAAAAAGTTGAGAACATTGGGAGCAGCACTGATAGTCACTTTAAAAACAAGATCATAAAAAATTCCCAATTATTGTTGCCAGTGATAGTGAAAATTTATCAGCCATAAGTGAACACAAAACAAAACAAAACTGAAAGACAAAATTATAAGAAAACTAAAATGAGAAAAACAGAGGATCAACAAATTTCTATTGCTACTTTGTATTTACCTCTGGGAGCCAAGAAACAATGCAACTGGGCTTAAGACCATCACTGAGGTGTACTTTTCTGGTGACAGATATTACCTGGATTTGTTACATGAATCTATTTGGCATCTCTGTGGGACCCCCAAAACTGTTAAAAAAGTAATTTTCAAAAAATAAAATCATAACTCTTACACAGGTATGAAAAGACCAGCTAGGGAATGATAAACTATTTGCAAATCATGTATGTGTAAAAGTCTTGTATAGAGAACATATAAAAACTCTCAAAACTCAATAGGAAAACAATCCAATTTTTTAAGCTAAAAGATTTAAACAAGCACTTCACTGAAAAAGATATACGTATGACAAAGGGGCACATGCAAAGATAATCAACATCATTAGTCATTAGGGAAATATAAATCAAGACCACAATGAAATATCACTACACATCTATTAGAACAGCTAAAAAAAAAAAAATAGCAACAATGTCAAACTCTGACAAGGATGTAAAGAGACTGGAAGTCTCACAAATTTCTGTTGGGAATGTAAAGTAGTAGAGCCACTCCAGAAAACAGTTTGACAGTTCCTTAAAAAATTAAACACATCCTTACCATACAACCCCATAACTTCAATCCTGGACATGTACTCCAGAGAAATGAAAACTTACATACACAAACAAATGCACACAAACCTGTACATGAATGTTCATAGTAGCTTTATTCATAATGGCAAAAAACTGGAAACAACCAAAATGTTCCCTAATAGGTAAATGTTAAACAAATCGTGGTACATCCATACCGTGGAATACTACTCAGCAATAAAAAGGAATGGACTATTGATACACACACAACTTAGAGGGATCTTAAGATAATTAAACTAAGTGAAAAATGTGAATCTATTTTATGGTTCTAGTTGTATAACATTCTTGAAATGACCAAATTATAGAGATGGAAAGCAGATTAGTTGTTTCTAGATATCAGGAATGGTGGAAGGGAGGGGACTGGGTGTGACTATCAAGATGTAGCAAGAAGGAGGGCTTTGCAGTGATGGAATAGTTATTTATCTTGATACAAGTGATAAAATACAACTACACATATTCATGGTATCAATATAATTCCCTGGTTTTGATGTTGTATTTTAATTAAGGACAGTATAATCATTGGGTGAAACTGGGTGAAGGGTACGTGGGACCTCTTTCTACTATCTTTTCAATTTCATATGAATCTGTGATTATTTTAAAATAAAATGTTTAAAAAATAATTGGATGCTTAGGACCTCTATAGAGGATTTTATTTATTTCTGCCAGATTTAGAAGCAATACAGGGTCAGGGATTTAGTTGACTTGGATTTGGGTTTGAATGCCTGCCAAGTTGGGCCTACTTTCCATTCAACTTTACACCTAGGATGCAGTCCTTTGGTGTTCCATACACAAAACCCAAGTGATTTTTTTTTTTTTTTTTTTTGAGACGGAGTCTCCCTCTGTAGCCCAGTCTGGAGTGCAGTAGTATGATCTCGGCTCACTGCAAGCTCTGCTTCCCGGGTTCAAGTGATTCTCCTGCCTCAGCCTCCTGAGTAGCTGGGACTACAGGTTTGCGCCAACACAACCAGCTAATTTTTGTATTTTTAGTAGAGACAGGGTTTCACCATGTTTGCCAGCATGGTCTCAATCTCCTGACCTCGTGATTTGCCCACCTTGGCCTCCCAAAGTGCTGGGATTACAGGTGTAAGACACCACGCCCCAAGTGATTTTTTAAACCATGGTTATCCACCCCATCTTTGGCAGGTCCTAGACTCCAACTATCAGCTTCTCAGGTTTTTACCTTAAGGAATTGGCAAATTCCACCTCAAACTTTTTTTGAGATAAAAGTGGTCTCAAATACCTAGCTTACCTTAATGGATTTTTTGCAGAGACAAGGTCTCACAGCATTGCCCAGGCTGGTCTCAAACTCCTTGGCTCAAGCAATCCTCCCACCTCAGCCTCCCAAAGTGCTGGAGATTACAGGTATGAGCCATTGTACTCAGTCTAGAATCTGATTTGTTATGATGGTTTCCATATTTTAATCTGTCTCTTTTTGCACATATGCTGTTATTTATTTTTGTCTTTCTCTTCAGAGGGAAACTTGCTGAGGATTTGCATTGACTTTAGTTGAAGAGAATATGGTTTTTGTTTCCAATATTTCCAGTCCCTTCTATGAAGTATTGCAAAAACCAATAACTTGTATTTAATCTAGACTTTACATCAAATTTCTACTTTACAGAACATTTAAAAGAGCAGAGGAGAAAATATGGGGATGCCTTTAGACAAATCCAGAATTTAGACACCTAATTTGACATTTTTATTTCCCCAACAGTTCAAGGAAATAAAAAATGGTGGTGGTAGTGCTGTGTGTGGGAGGGTCGGGGTGGGGGCACAGTTTTAGAGTAAATGACTTCTTGGTGAGATAACAATCAAATAAAATGGATCAAAATATTCGGATAATGACTGGAATAAACCAGCTGTAAAAGTACTTTTCCCCCAAAAAACAGGATTCAAATTGGGATGCATATTAGATAATACTAAGAATTGTTAATTTTATTTCATGAGGTAACGATTTTGTGGTTATGTTAAAACATCATTATTTTTAAGTGATACAAATAGTATTGGGAAGGGATAAGGCCAGGAATCTACTTTAAAATATTTCAGTAACAAAATTCAATAGTCATAGATATTGCCTGTATGGCAAAATGTTGGGAAGTGTTGAATTTAGGGTAGGCGCATTTGGTGTTTCATGTTATCATTTTCTTTTTTTATTTTTCTTTTTTGTTTTTGAGATGGAGTCTCCTCTGTCAACCAGGCTGGAGAGCAGTGGCGCGATCTCAGCTCACTGCAAGCTCCACCTTTTTGTGTTAATATCGAAAGTTTCATTAAAAAATTTTTTTCCTGCCCAGAAGGAAAGTGGTAAGTACATACTTCCTGTAGTTTGACTTGTTATAGTTATCTGGAGTCCGTCTCCCATCTCAACCTACCCACCTCTTCCTGAATAACCGTAAATTCACATGGCTTAAACAGATTTGTAGAAAAGATACGTTTATGTTAAATATGTGAGGTCAACGGGCAACAGAGGAATAGCCAATTTGAAGCCTGATTTGAACGCAAAAAATTTCAAGACAGGAGCCATTTTCCATATCATATTTTCTAAATTTCCTGCCAGTACAGCTTCCTTCATTTTTCAGATACAACTTGCTCTTTCTGTGCTTGATTTCAAGACTGATTTGTCCTTGGAATTCCTTGTGGATTCTTGGCATCTTGAAATCAATTGTCCGTGCCAGATAGCATAAGCAGAGGTCTAGATGAGTACAGGCACATATAAAGAGGCAACGGAGTTAAACCACGTCTGAGATTCCATATTCCTTAAGGTTATGTCCAGTGGACAGCCCAACTCCCTTTTAGAATCTTGTTTCTTCTCATACTCATCACTTTTCCGCTAAAGTGTGTTTCTTTTCATACTAAAACCTTCGCTTTTATCCCCAAATAGTTATATTTTCTTTATATTTCCACATGCTCGTTTTTTCTTGAGGAAAAAAATTACAAAAATAAAAAGCCCAAGCGCTCATCGCGCTAGAGAAGTGACCTTCAGTTTGAACGCCCTGAACCAACAGAATGAGCTGCAGGAAGGCGGAAGCACTAGCGTGCTGGGCATTCTGGGAACTGTAGTCGGAAGTATTTTCGCCCAGGCTGGTGGAGTCCTTGTCGTCATTCCGCTTAAACATTCTGGGAAGTGTGGGTCAGACGTTTCATATAGTCGACAACACTTCCTCTTCGGGAGTACAGGGTGTGGCCCTCTCGTGTGACTCCGGACTCTGGGAAGTGAGTCGCAGGAACTTCCGCTCCAGGGAAAGTTGCGGCCATCATGCTGCATGTGAGACTTGAGCCCCAGCGACGCTTCTGCGCCTCCTCAGCCTGGATGAGGGACCAAAGATGGTCAAGGCCCTCTGTCTTGAGGAGGAAAAGTGGCAGCCGGCGGAGGATTAGGATTGGAAGTGTTTGCGTTTCCCTCGACTCAGTAGAGCTTTCTAGTGTTAGGGGATGTTCCTGAATCCCGGGTTGGGGAATGAGGCAGGGTCTTGCATCATTGGGTTTGATGGTTTCTTGGGTCCTGTACTCCCGTAGCCCTTCTGTTGGACCCACCAATCAGCATTGCCGCTTCCTAGGGAAGTTTTTGTGGCGTTGGAAATATTGTGTAACTTGATCGTGTTGGTAGTTACATGTCTGTACATATTTGTTAAAACTCATTGAACTATACACTTAACAATAGTAGACTTTATAATGTATGTACATTGCACTTCAATAAATGTGACTTTTTAAAAGTGTCTGGAACTTTATTTTTTTTAAGTGGCAGGACCTCATTACAAGTAAGTTCAGAACTAAGTTAGGACTACTATAATCCTGCTAGCACCACCCTCATGTAAACATTTTCATTTTGGTTTATTTTATACATATATAGATATTTGCTTTTTATTAAATAATGTGTAAATTTTAAATTAGTATTTCAGTTAGTAATATACCATAAGTTAATTTTGCTGTTTCCCACATTCTTCATAAAGTTCATCTTTAATGATTGTGTTGTATTGAATTGAGTGAATGTGCACTTGTTAAACCTGGGCATCTGGGATGTGTTTAAAAATTATTCTCATAATTTTATATATATATGAAATGTTTTACAATTTAAGAGATATATGCTGACTTCCATGCCTCTGTTCATCGTTTTTGTCTATCCTACTTGGGGTACTCATTTCCATGGTCATACTATAGGCCTTAAATTAGCAATAGCTGCAATCCCTCCATAGTCTCCATTTAAGGCATTACACTCTGCTCTACATATTCTCTTGCCAGATCTTCCTGTGGTTTACTGTGATATTGACTTCATCAATTTCTACAATTCATTGATCCTATTGCATTTTCAATATCCCTTATTCATCTCATATCCTCAATACCAACCATATCTTTTCTCTTCTTTCTAGTATAAACAGAAGACTTACACTTACATCTAATTGTTCAAAATATTGTCCTATGACAACCGTAGACTTAAGGAACATTAAGAAAGTATTTTGATTTTCCCCCATTATTTTATAGAAGAGACATGCAGGGTCAAAGGGATTATGAATGGATGCTCTGTGAGCCAGTCAATAGCATATGTCCCAAAGGCTACAGGTTAAGTATATTACCTGGCCCAGCAGCTTTAAAATCATCTTTTGGTCTCCTACTCTAGACAGCAAACTTCAGTTCAGGCACCAGTGATGCTATTATGTGAGGAATATTGACTTGCCTCTGTTTTTGTTTTTAAATAACATCAGATTTGGTATCAGTTATCACTTAAAAGTTATATGTGAGACACTTTCTCAGTGTATGTGACCTTGGCTGGGAAGCATTGCTTTAGAGGTGCAGAGATCAGAGATCAGATAACTTTGATAACTCGGTATGTGCAATGGTAGAAGTATTTTAAACATGCCATGAAAGGGGATATTTCAATTCATAGCATCTATTTTTGGGGAAAAGGCTCCCAAATAGTATTGGCTCAGTCAGTCAGATCACTTGTTTGGAGATAGGGTTGGTAATATGACTCTATGCACTGTGCATACTCTTAGATTCAAGGGTCCCATTCAAGGAATTTATATTATGGTAGCACTCATTTAAAGATCAAGAAAAAATGGACATGGGTGTTCACTAAAGCATACTTTTGTGAACCCAAAAGTATGTGAGACAGGTCTCAATCCATTTAGAACATTTAGTTTGCCAAGGTTAAGTACGCACCTGTGACACAGCCTTAGGAGGTCCTGACGACATGTGCCCAAAGTGGTCAGGGCACAGCTCGATTTTATACATTTTAGGAGAAATCAGGCATCAAACAGTATGTTTAAGTTATACATTGCTTAAGTCCAGAAAGGCAGGACAATCTCAAATGGGAGTGGGAGCTTCTACATCATAGGTAGATAAGAGACAAACAGTGGCATTATTTTGAGGCTCTGATTAGGCTTTTACTGAATACAAAACTCACACGTGAGAGGTGGGTAGACGAATAGTGACTTAGGTCTTAATGTTGCTTAGTGAATATGCATTATTACAGAAACAATAGGTAACAGGAAGCAATCAGATATGCATTTGTTTCAGGTGAACAGAGGAATGACTTTGAGTTCTGTCTGTCCTTTGTCCCACACCTGTGAAGATAAGCTATCAATTTACATTACCAGGGTGAAATTCAACAGAAATGCTTTTGGATAAAGATGTTCAGGCCCACAGGGAATTTCCTTGTTGACAAATTGTGAAGGAGGTATGTAGCTTTTTCTTCTTTATAGCTATCTTATTAAGTAATAAAATGGGATGTTTGCCTGACACAGTTCCCAGCTTGACTTTTCCCTCTGGCTTAGTGATTTGGGGGTCCCGAGATTTATTTTTCTTTCACATTTTGCAAGACTATGGATGCTTAATAGGGTGAGATTAGCAATTGAAAGAGAAAAAATTTTGATTCTTAAAATCTTCACCCTTTCCCTCAAACTCTTTGAACCTTGTTCTTCTTCTAATGGACATTTGTGTGCATGATTGAGGTGTAGTATCTTAGGTGCTGTAGGAAACAGTAATATTCAAGAATGTGCTGTGATCTGCACTAAGGAGGTGATGCTACTGAACAAGGCCAAAATAAATCTACCTATGGAGAAGTATTCTTGCCGAAAACGATGAACCTTAATCTCATCTGCTCTCTAAATCTAAATTGTAGTTTACCAGAGCCACAAAAGATATTCAAGAAAATGTTAAATGGCAGCATAATGAAACATTTTTAAAAATCCAGAATGTGGGACATCTTACTTGACAACTGAACTGATGTCTTCTATAGGCCAAAAGCATGAATTTAAAGTGGATCAAAGGGGGGATACTCTTCCATATTCAAAGAGACTCAAGAGAGAAAACAATCACATGCAAAGAATGGGTATTTTTGAGATGACTGGAAATTTTGAAGTTTCGTTTTGTAGGGTATAAAATAATATTAAGGAATTATTAACTTTCTTCAGTGTGATAGTTGTATTTTTGTTATATTAGAAAATGTAATTCTTTGAAGTATGCATGGGAGTGTTTAGGGGGAAAATAATACAGTGTCATGATTTTGTTTTAAAATTACAATAACAAAAGGGCAGAAAGACAATATTGATAGATAAAGGAAGTGTGGCACATGTTGAAAATTGCTGAATCTCGGTGATGAGGTGATGGAATACTTCACTCTTTACTTCTATTAATGTTTGAAATTTTTCATAATATAAAGGTATGAAAATGTTTAGTTCTTGTCCAGAAGAAAAGTGGTAAGCAGAACCTTCGTGTATTTTTATTTGTTGGATTTTCTGGATTTGCGTCCAACTGTCAATTGACTCACCTGAATGAAATACAGTTATTATTGTATTTATGATAATAAGAATAGGGTGGAAGTGGGTGATGTGATATTTGAACTTGAACAAAAAGAAATTTCAAATTTTTATATATTTATCTCTTTTCATATTATAATAATTCCTCCACATGAACACACCTCCTTTCATTCACTTCATGAGCCATGTTTTATAATGAACAATTAAAGTCAAGGAACACCCAAAAGCTTTTGCTGCTTCTGCTTTATACTTTAATAAACTTTGCATGACCTTCTTGTGGGTCTTATCATGGAATGAATAGCTTATATCTGATAACACCGCCAAGAGTTCTAGATGCATCCAGCACACATGGATTAAAGTAGAAAATCCAGTCAAAGTAGGTTTGAGATCTTGTGTTCCTTACATTCGTGCCCCGTTTCTAAGTTCTGCATTTTTAGCTCACACATATCTTCCCCTTTATAATTTATGCCTCCTTTTCATTTCAAACTGTGTTCTCTACTAAAGGGAATTGGGTGGGGGACAGGGTGGGAGTGGCGTTCAAATACACTTGTTTTGTCACATGTGAAAGAAAAAAAATGAGAATAAGGAAAAAGAAGGCTGAGCTTGACCAGTGAGATAGAATGATTCGGACTGAACCTAGTTATCCAAAATAAAAAGGGAAACGCTGGTGAGAAGCGCTACCTGAAGAGGATTCTGGAAACTGGTCCAAAGGATTCACGGCGTCAAAACCACTTCTGTTCCAGGAAAGGTGGCTTTAATGATTGGGCTTCTGGGGGAAATATTAAGTATAAATTAGAATCCTGTTTTTGGAGACATTTTGGTTTAAAGAAGACAGTGCTGAGTTTGCATTCTGCTCTAGAATTGTGTGACATACAGTCCAAATTCAAACGGTAGTAGCCAGCCCTCCGCCAGAGAAAGGCAACGACATTGCCAATTCTTTGCGAGGATTCTGGGAGCAGTAACCTTGGAGCTCTGTGTAGGCGGCCAGGCTTCTGCTACAGGAGGGCGTGGCTGTGACGATTATCTCATTGGGGATTCTGGGGTTATAATCCAGGAACTGTGGGTAAGTACAGTCACTTCTGCTCCATGAAAGTGAGGTCATCATTCGTTTCAGGAAGTTGAGTGAGGCCTGAGACAGCAATGTTTCGTTTAGCCTGGCGGTGGCCCTCCTTGTCTTCAAGAAGAGCATCCGTGGCTAGCAGTGGAAGATGGGGTTGGGCCCCAGGTGAGTGACCCTTTGTCGAGTTTGCAGAATTTAGTCTTGGCGGGTTGAGAATCTCTTGTATTTTGTGCGCTCTGTTCCTACTCCAGGACTGACCAGGCAGTTCTGCCACCTTCTAGGGGTGTGAAATTGGGAAGTAATTCAAACTGTATGTGCCTAGCATTCCTTTTATGTAACATGAGGGGAATAGAAGTACCAAACCGATGCAGTTCAGTGGAGAATTAAATGAGATAGTCACAAGTAAAAGGTGGTAAGTGTGGTTCATTTTATTAATTTTCTTTTAATTTCCCGAGAAGCCCCAGTTACCTAAAAGCTTCTGTGAGCCTGGGAAGGGATCAGAGTTCCACCTGCAGTGCTATTTTGCCCCTTCTTTCTGATCCTTACAGGAAGCAGGACGATTCCTGGATTCCCTTTTTAAAAAAGTGGGGGTGGGGGTGTGGGGATGGGGGTGGGGGGTGGGGCGGGAATCACTCCAGGCTATTGTATGGGGATGTCCTCTGTGATTCGTGCAGGAGGGAGACATAGTTCTGGTTTCTCGCAGATGGTCACAGGAATGAGGAAAGAATGACTCTTTGGCTCCTAGCAGCAGAATCTTAACTGAGTATGACTTAGCATCCTTCTTCTTGCTGTGTCATCTCTCTTCTCAGGGCAGAAGATATTTACGAATTAGCACATTCTGCTAGCACATCTGTGGGAAAAGGTAGGAAGGAAGGAGGGAGGGTGGGAAGGAGGAAAGAAGATCCACTCCTTATACTGGAAAAAAAGGAGCAATATACTTTTCCTCAAAATGAGAAGTCAAGCCCAAAAGAATTCTGTACAGACCACCTTAAAATAACATCTTTCAAGCCTGTCTGCATGATTTAGTTGCTTCTTTTTTTAAAAAAAATTAATTTATTTTTATTTTGTAGAGACACGGTCTTACTGCGTTGACCAGGATGGTCTCAAACTCCTGGCTACAGGCTATCCTCCTGCCTCTGTCTCCCAAAGTGCTGGGATTACAAGCATGAGCCACCAGGCCTGGCCCAATTGCTTCTTAACAACTTACTATTCTTTGTTCACTACAGTGTATACATAACTGACTTTTTCTTTGGAGCTTCATTTTGTAATGAAGGCTCTGGTCACATGTAAGACTTGTATTAAATAAATTTGCCTGCTGTTCTGTTAATCTGTGTTATGCTAATTTAATTCTTGAGCCCAGCTGGGTCCTGGAGAGGATAGAGTGAAGTTTTGTGGCAGCTACATAAGTCAATGAAATTGGAAACAGAAAAACAATCTTTAAAAATCAACAAAATCATAACCTTATTCTTTGAGAAGATCAATATAGTTTATAAACCTTTCAACTGACTCACCCACAGGGAAAAAGAAGAAAACAAAAATCAGGAGGGAGGGAACGTTATTACAAATTTTGCAGATACTAAAAGGATTATAAGGGAACATTACAAACAACTCTTTGTCCATAAATTCATCAATTTACATGACATGGAATATTGCTTGAAAGGCACAAACTACCAAAGCTCACTCAGAAAGAATGGATAACCTAGATACTTGCGTGTATGTATGTGTGTGCATACATACAATTTTTACACACACACACACACACACATATATATATGCACAGTTAATTTTTTCTATCTTTTGTAGAGATGGGTTTTTACCATGTTGCCTGGGCTGGTCTTGAACTCCTGGGCTCAAGCGCTCTGCCCACCTTGGCCTCCCAAAGTGCTGGGATTACAGGCTTGACACACTGCACTTGCCTGGCCTGATATATATTTCAAAACTGATTTAATAGATAAAGCCTTCCAACAACAACAATAAAAAAACCAATATTGAGATGAATTCATTGGTGGATTCTACTAAACATTTAAAGAGTAAAGATGTGAATTTTAAATAAACCCAGAAACAAAAAGAGAAGGGAACACCCACCCACCCCCAGCTTGTCTCATGAGGCCAGCGTTAATCTGATAATACCAAACAAGACAAAGAAATTACAAGGAAAGAAAACTACAGATGAATATCCTTCATGAACTAAGTGAAAAAATCCTGAATACAGTAGTACCTTGGTATCGGTGGGGAATTGGTTCAGGGACCCTTATGGAAATCAAAATCCGTGGATGCTCAAGTCTGTTATGTAAAATGGCCATAATATTCTCATGTAACCTTTTCATATCACCCTGCATACTTCAAATTATTTCTATCCCTACACAATAAAAATGCCCTGTAAATAGTTGTCATACTATATTGCATTTTTTATTTGTGTTATTTTTATTGTTGTGTTGTTAATTTGTATTTTTTTCTGAATATTTTTGATCCCTGTTTCATTGAATCTGTGGATGCTTCTGTAGTATCCACTGGCATGAAGACCTAGATGACAGAGACTGAGGTGACCACAGGACCTGGAAAGTGAGGGAAGAAATCCTGGGAAAAAGATGTCAAGCAAAGAATTGCCCCTTATTCTACATTAAACTCTGCCCAAATTTCAGACTGACTGACACCCAGAATGTATAAAGACTTGTACAATTCAATATTAAAGAGCCCAACATCTCAATTATAATGGGCAAAATTTGAACAGTTACTTTACAAAGGAAGACATACAAATTGTTAATATAGCCTGTGAAGAAGTGTGACATTATTGGTCATCAGGAAAAAGCAAATGGAAACTGCAGAGAGATGCAACTACACAACCACCAGAATGGCAGATATTAAAAATAGTGATAGCAGGCCAGCCGCGGTGGCTCACACCTGTAATCCCAGTACTTTGGGAGGCCGAGGTGGGCGGATCATCCAAGGTCAGGAGTTCGAGACCAGCCTGGCCAACATGGAGAAACCCCATCTCTACTAAAAATACAAAAATTAGCCAGGCATGGTGGCAGGTGCCTGTAATCCCAGCTACTCAGGAGGCTGAGGCAGGAGGATCGCTTGAACCCAGGAGGCAGAGGTTGCAGTGAGCCAAGATCATGCCACTGCACTCCAGCCTGCATGACAAGAGTGAAACTCCATCTCAAAAAAGAAATATTAATAACAGCAAATGCTTATTAGGATTCAAAACAATCAGAAATTGCATATATTTTGGGAGACAGTGTAAAATTAATCTTTTGGGAGATGATCTGGTGTTTTCTTAAGCAGTTAAACACACCAAGCAATTCTAATCATAGATATTTATTCCAGAGAAAAGAAAGCATATGACCACAAAAATACTTTTATAAGTATGCTGCAGGATCTTTATTCATAAAAATATTTAGACAATTAAAATGTAAGCAAGTTTCCAAAGACATATATTCATGCAATAGAACATCACTCAGTAATAAAAAGGATCAAATAACTGATATGTGCATCAACATGGATGGATCTGAAAAACACTATATTCAGAGAATTGTAATGCAGAAGAGTTCTTACCGTATGGTTCCATATATTTCATATTCTAAAATTAGTAAAATTTATGGTGAAAAAGTGGAACAGTGGTTGCCACTGGGGGAAGGGGTTAGAGATTGACTGGTAAGTGTCATGGGGGAATCTGTCGGGTAATGCTAATGTTCTGATGGCTAAGTAATAAGTAAGATAGCTAGATGGATGACTAAGATGTAAATGTTGCTAATTTTAGAATTTAAGCTGAGAATATATGGGTGACTACTGTATAATTCTTCCAACTCTTCTTTATGGTATAAAATTTCAGAGCTAGGCACAGTGGCTCCTGCCTATAATGCCAGCACTTTGGGAGGTCAAGGTGGGAGGATCACTTGAAGCCAGGAGTTTGAGACCAGCCTGGGCAACATAGTGGGACCCGATCTTAGCAAAAAAAAAAAAAAAAAAAAAATAGCCAGGTGTGGTTGGGCACACCTATAGTCCCACCTACTTTGGAGGCTGAGGTGGGAAGATGGCTTCAGCCCAGGTGGTCAAGGCTGCAGTGAACTGTGATCATGCCACTGCACTCTAGCCTAGGTGACAAGGTAAGACCCTGTCTCAAAAAAATTTTTTTTAGTAAAATATTGAGAAAAACCTAGTTTTGAGTGAAAAATTTTAACAGAGTTTTATAACACAAGATATATATATATGCATCCGAAATTCCATACATTTGCCAAAAAGACATACCAGCAACAGGCACACATTAAACAGATCGACCTGGCTACTGATGCTACAGGGGAGAAAATGAGAGTGGGTAGTGGGGGATATAATGGAACAAATAAATAATATCTGTTTGTTTTTTTCTTTCTATTTTTAATATGTATGCCGTCAAACATTCCCCTATTCAAATAAATGATAGTTTTATGTTCACATTTTATTCAGTATTTCTATGTAAATAAACTAGGAAGACGGTCTGTGGAAGCTTTATCTGTGTTGTTGCCAAAGGTCTGTAATATGTCTTGAAGAATATTTTCCAGAAAGAATTTAGAAGTGATTCACAACTGAATCTTGTATGCCAAGAATAGTGCACATGAACAAAACATTCTCTGACCATAGAAGGATCAATCTTTTCATTTCAAAACCCCAGAGATTATTTTTATATTTTATTACTACTTTTAATGTTGCAGACAATAATTAAAATGAAAAGCTTATTTTTTCATTCCTTTGAAATTGACTCAATTCTTTAGTCTTCAGCCTTGCCATTAAAAAAAATTTTCAATGTCTACAAGTGCATCTCTAGGAGTCTCTTCCTCCTTTTTCTCTTACTCTTCCTCTCCTACTTCTCCTCCTACACACCCTGGCCTTCCACCCACTTCTCCTCCATCTTCTTCTCCTCCTTCCAATATGTGATTTTGCCCATTTGGATAAATTGTTTATTCTCTCTTAATGATTTATTTATTACAATCTGCTTCCTTCTCTAATCTTCATTTTTTCTCATTAGCTTATAAGATACACCTGATCAATATGTTCATATCCATTATAGAGTTTCTCATTATTTTTAGTCCTTCCCTCTAAGTTCTGAAAAAAGTTCTATGCCATATATTCAGTTTCCTTTGAAACATATCATTGATTTTTTAAAAAATACTTTATTTTAAGAGCAGTTTTAGGGTTACAGAAAAATTGCAGAAAAAGTATTAATATTTCCCATATGCTCTCCTTTCCCCTGCCCAGTTTCTCCTATTGTTTGCATCTTGCATGTGTGTGGCATATTTGTTACAACTAATGAACCAATATCGACACATTATTATTAACTAAAGTCTGTGGTTGACATTAGGGCTTACTCTTTGTGTTGTACATTCCATGGGTTTTGACAAAGCATAACATCCTATATCCACCATACCATATCATACAGAATAGTGTCACTGCTTAAAAATACCCTGTACTCTACCAATTAATCTCTCTGAACCTCTAACAACCACTGATCACTTTACTGACCTTTAGTTTTGCCTTTTCCAGATTATCATATAGTTGAATTACAGTATGTAGCTTTGACAGACTGGCTTCTTTCCATTAACAATATGAATTTAAGGTTATTCTATGTGTTTTCATAACTTCATATCTCATTTCTTTTTATGGCTGAATAATACTCTATTGTATTGATGTACCATAGTTTGTTGGTCATATATCATTGATTTTTACAGATTGAAATATCACTTACATTCAGAAAAGTGTCCAAATCATAAATATACATGTGAAAGTATGAACATAAAATGAACAGCTGTATAATCACCACTCACAACCAAAAATGGAGCATGGTAGAATTGCAAACACCCCACTCTCACAGCATCATGATGCTTTCTTCCCCAGGAAAAGAAACCGCTACCCTAAGTTTTAAGGTTCCCTTGCTTTTCTTTATATTTTTACTATTTAATTGTCCAAAATCATCCTACTGATGAATTTTGCATGTCTAATGAACAAGTGGAATCACGCTGCATCTACTGGGTTTGTCTAGTTATTTTGCTCAACATATTTATGGGAGTCATCATGGTATTGCATGTACAGCTAAAGTTTGTTCAATGTCCTTGCTCTTACCTTGTGTAAATAACAAAAAATATTTATCCATACTATCATCGATAGACATCTGAAGTATTCTCAGTATGTCATTGTGATGAATGATCCTGCTATGAACATTCTTATATGTGTATTTTGGTACACATTTCTTATGGGTTTATACACTGAGTAGATTTAAGTGTCATAAGAAATGCTTTTCAAATTGTGCTCTACAATCCACCAGCCTTAGATTGTTGCATGTAGTGGGAGGTATAGGTCAATTTCAGTTTTATTTCACAATATTCAATTTAACAGCAACATGTGTTGAATATTTGCCCTGTTCCCATGGTGCTGCAGTGCCACATTTGTTGCAGATCTGAAGTCAACATGAGCATGCATATAAAATTCAAAAGATCTACACATAAAATATTAAAATTAATTAGATTAGTTGGCAAGATTGCAGGATAAAGGAGCAAATGTGGTATTTAGTAGAAATGGTTGGAGTGGACATCATTATTTTGTTCCCCATCGTAGAGGAAATGTTTTCAATATTTCACTATTCCTTTTGGTATTTGTTGCCATTTTTGTAGATCTTTACTATTGCTTAGTTGCCTAAATTTTCTTATGACAAATGGGTGATTAATCAAACTTTTTTTTTTCTGTTTCTGATACCTAGGTCATGATGTGTTACCCTTTTATATATGATTGGCAACATTTTGTTTAGGATTTTTGAAAGTATATTTATGATGAGATAGACCTGTCATTTTCTTTTTCTTTCTTTTTTCTTTTCTTTTTTTTTTTTTTTTTCTTGAGATGGAGTCTCACTCTGTCACCCAGGCTGGAGTGCAGTGGCACGATCTCAGCTCACTGCAATCTCCACCTCCCAGGTTCAAGTGATTCTCTTGCCTCAGCCTCCCAAGTAGCTGGGAATACAGGCGCGTGCCTCCATACCTGGCTTTTTTTTTTTTTTTTTTTTTTTGTATTTTTAGTAGAAACGGGGTTTCACTGTGTTGGTGTTTGCCAGAATGGTCTGGATCTCCTGATCTCATGATCTCCTGATCTCATGATCTGCTCGCCTTAGCCCCCCAAAGTGCTGGGATTACAGGCATGAGCCACCGTGCCCGGCCAGACCTGTCATTTTCTATTGTAATGAAGCCTCTCACAAATTTTGTCAGTGTTATTATAGTGGCCTCATAAAGTTAGTTGGAAAGTGTTTCCTATTTTGTTATTCTGAGGAATAATTTTGAGATGAACATGGTTTCTTCTTTAAATATTTGGTGGAATTCACTGATGACACCAGATTTCAATGCCATACTCTTTTATCTATGGATTACTTAAAAGTGGTTTAATTTCCAAACAAGTTTATAATTTAGGGTCCACCTAGAAGATAGAAACCTTACCAATTATTTGAAAAGAAAAATTAGCATATTGTAGAGTTGGTAGCTAGATTTCTGAAAGAGCAGAAAAAGAACTCTGGGCCAGATGCTGTGGCTCACGCCTGTAATCCCAGCACTTTGGGAGGCTGAGGCGGGTGGATCACGAGGTCAGGAGGTCTTGAGACCAGCCTGGCAAACATGGTGAAACCCCATCTCTACTGATAACACAAAAATTAGCTGGGAGTGGTGGTGCATGCCTGTAATCCCAGCTACTTGGGAGGCTGAGGCAGGAGAATTGCTTGGAGCCGAGACGCAGGGGTTCCAGTGAGCCGAGATGGCACTACTGCACTTCAGCCCGGGGAACTGAGCGAGACTATGTCAAAAAAAAAAACAAAAAAACTCTAATATATGATGGAAGTAGCAACTGCAGGAAGTAGCAACTGCAGCAAGCAGCAACCACCTGAGGTCTGAGGAAACAAAGTGAAGAGACAGGAATTACTAAAACTTAGAAGCTTGGAGGAAGGTCATGCTCACCTGAAACTCAGACCTCTAAGGAGAGGCCAGTGTTCAGCTGGCTCTGCTGTCTCTGAGCTCAGAAACAGGGCCCTGCAATTTTAGCACTTAGACATCTAAGGATCAGTCTTTGGGAAGCTGTTTAATAATGTTTATAAAGAGCCATGATGAAATAGGTATTCAAGTGTTAGAAAAACTGAAAATTAGGCAGTTGCTACAAGAAAAAGTACTGCTGGCTGGCAGGCACAGGATACAGTATATCTCCCTGCCCCCACCACCCCTATACTCTTCTGCTAATAGTTGCCGAACACAGAACCAGATTGGGGGTGTAGAGGTCGGGAAAGATTGGCTGCAGACTCCCCCATTCCAGCCCCATAAAGCAGAGTGAAGAATGGTGGGTTTGGAGATGAGACAATATTTATTAAATGCACACATGAATCATTTAGTTGTATTTTTATTGATTTCTAGCCAAATTTCACTGTATTCGAAAACATAGTATTTCAGTATTTTGAAATCCCATATCATTTTACTCATTTGTACAAATCTTATGTGCGCCTGAAAAGATGTGCATTTTAATTTTTGCTAGAATCTTTCTTTCCCCCAGCTTCATATAGGTGTCAAAAGTGCTGCAGAGATTCTAGGCTTTTCAGATCCTAGACTAGACCATCATCCCCAGGAGAAAAGTAGCCCCAAATGCATGACTCTCCCAACTGTTTCTGAATTTTGGCCCACCATTTCTCCATTATCTTGTCTTTTGATGTCTTTTGACATTTAAAAAGTTTGCTCACCTTTCCTCTGCTACATGTTTGTTCCAAATCACTCATTTTATTATTACTAGAAGTGGAAGTATACAAAATATTATTCTGTCCCTTTTATTTTTAAATTTTCATTTTTTCAAAAAAATCACCTATTATCAGATTGATCCTCTTTAATATGTAAACCGTATGGATTTTCAAAAACATTTCCTTGGAAAGGAGTTAAATAAAGAATCAAATAGTTTCATCTCTTAATAGTGTCTTTTAAGCCACTGAGCGTTTTCACAGATTGGTCGTTATGTCTTTTTATTTTCCTCTTCCTTTTCTGGATTGAGTGAACCCATTCACCGTCTTCCCTGAGTCATCCTCCATAAGACAACTTACAATATTTGCTATATCAAGAGCAGGGTGAAAATAGGTGATAGATTTTTCTCAAAGAAGAAAAACATTTCAAGGTTTTACAAGGGAGTTATCCCTTCCCATAATAATAACATTTTGTCTGTATCAGTACAGCCCTTCTATTTGCCTTATGACTTGCATTTCATCATCAGTAGTTAAAGCAGAGGAAACGTGGGAACCACTTACTGTTTCTGCTTATGGCCTCATCAACGGTTGCATCTGTTTTTTTTTTGTGGATTCTTGGCATCCACGTTCTTGTGGATCTTGCAACAAACACATTATGGTAGGTAGCAGCAGCACTATCAGTTTCAGACGCGTCCACACCAAAATGGAATAAAAAAGTAATCCAGTCAAAGAAAGGTTGAGATCCTGTATTCCTCAAATTCGGTGTCCAGTACAAATCAGCCCAATTTCCTTTAAGTACCTGCATTTTTAGCGCACACATCCCTTCCATTCTGTAATTCTTTTTTTTTCTTCCTGTATTGCAAGCTTCTCCGTTCTCTCCTTTGTGGGATATTTTCTTGGTAGGTAGGTAGGAAGGTAGGTAAAGTCCGCTTTGGTTGAGTTTATTTGGGTTTGTGTAGCGTTTGAAGAAAAATAAATTCAAACTCTAGGGGGAAGGGAGTAGAGCTTGACTAGCAGTATAAAATTAGATGGCTAACCAAAAGAGAATAGTGACTATATAAATACTGACTATCCAAACGAGAAAGAGACGACTTAAGGGGAAGTGCTGCCCTGCAAGAAATTCCGGGAATTGTCCAGAAGATCCACAGGGTCAGAGACACACGCGCCAGGAAAGGCGCCTTTCATGCACGGTCCTCTGGGGAAAACAGAGAAATATATATAGGAGCTCTCTGTCTTTGGAAGCATTTCGGTTCCAGGAAGGGAGAGTTAAGGAATTCCTCTGGGACAGGCACATGTGAAATATGATCCAGGCTCTCCGCTTGGCACCCTGCACTTGCGTCCTAGGCAGGCAGAGAGTGGAGAGTTTTTCTAGGAATTCTGGGAAGTGTAGTTTGGGAGCCCCGTGTAGTCGTGTAACTTCCGCTCTAGGAGGCTGAGGCCGTCTCCCTGATCCCGTCGAGAATTCTGGGAAGCGTAGTCCAGGAGGTCTCAGTAGGGAGAGCCACTTCCGCCCAAGGTACGCTAGGCCGCGGCCTTCTTTCCTCCCAGAAAGGTGACCCTCCCCGCCCTGCGTCCTGCTCCTTCCGTCCATACTGATGTTCGTTTTGCTGGAGGCCAGTAGCAACTGGACAGTAGCCCTAGGGGAGGAGAATCCACCTGCGGCGAAGGGTGGGATTTGTTTTCTTTGAGCCTTCTCCAGTGTGGGGCAGCTGGCGCATCTCCACTTAGCGCAGGGGGTCCGGGATCCTACATCTCAGGGACTGGGGATCTCCTGGGTTCTGTACTCCCCCAGCCCTTTCCCCTGACCATCAGCCAGCTCTGCCATTTCCTAGCAGTATAATAAAAGGCGAGTATCTTAATCTCTCTGCCTATGTTTCTTTTTCTTTAAAATGGTACTAGTATCTATCTAATGGAGTTCTTTTGAGAGTTAAATAAAAAGGCTTGGAACAGAGCCTGACAGATGGTAGAAGATGGGTCTCTTGTTATTAGCACTTTTTAATTTTCTGAGAAGGACTCAGTTCCCTGAAAGCTTCTGTGAGCCCAGGATGGGGTCAGAGCTCCAGCTGCAGAGTATCCCTGGCCCTTTTCTGATCACTGAGAGATTTTTCTTTAGGAGAGGATCACTCCGGGCTGTCTGGGCAGTCCACTGTAATTCATGCAGGAGTTCTGATTTCTCCCATCCTCCTTTCCTTCTTTAGCCTTGACTTCTTGAAAAAGGCTTCAGGGAGAAGGAGGGAATAACCCTTTGGCACTTGGCAGCGGAGTCTCACCTGAGTAGTACTTATCATCCTTTCTTCCCAGGGGAGACGATATTTCCTTCATTCATTGGCAAATTCTGCTCGAAGATGCCCTGATATTTGTTCAATAAATGCAGAAACGGATGAGGGAGAACTTGGGCATGAGTAATAAAGATAGTATTTAAACATTGAGTGCTGATCATTCTAAGAGTTTGATATGAATTAACATATGTAATCCTCACAAGAGCCCTTTGAGGCTGGGTTGGGTGCCACCATTCCCATCTTAAAGAAAAGCAAAGAGACACACAGCATAGATGGTTTATCTTTAGGTCACCCAGGTGGTAAGAGCCTGAGCTGAGATTTGAATTCAGATAGTTTCCATCCATTGCCTTAGTTCTTGATGTGTTTAGTGTCAGCTTCAGAAGACATGTTTGGATTTTTCTAGAGGACCGTAAAAGCGAGGTTAATGAGCTTTGAATTTTTTATTTTTTTTAGTTATCTGTAATTTAATTTTATTTGAAATATTTACGTTCATATTCTGATTATATAAATGATTGCATATTGTAAAAGATTAAGAAAGTATAGAAAGAGTAAAAGAAAAAAATTAATTATGCTAACCACAAGATATAACAATAACAATATTAATTCAATGTTTTCCTCTTCCAGTAGACTTCTTTTTGGATTTTTACCCACGTTTAACCAAATAGGCTTCATAGCTTTTATTTTTCCCTTAAGTTTTTACTATGGAAATTTATAAGCATAGCCAAATGTAATATGACTAAAATAATTCTGTGGAAGCATCACCCAGCTTCAACCTTTGTTAACATTTGCCTGTCTCGGATCAACTCCATGCCCCTTTTTTTTTGGTTTCAGTATTTTAAACCAAATCTCTAACATCGACTTAGTATAATATTGTTTGATTGATTGTCATAATTGTCAAACATTGATGATCATAAATTGCTTATATCCAAGACCGTGAAAGGGAAATGCCAGCAGCTACTCTAAGGTTTTCATTCGTTGCAGCTTACAGAATGGTCCTTACTTGAGGACGCTAGAGGACGCAAGAGAGTTGTACCTTGGAGAAGAATGGTGCTGAATTTTGTGTTCCAGTATAGAGTTTGCCTTGCCTAAGTCTTATAGCTCTTCGTTTCTTATTTATCTTTATCTAATCCATACACTGAAAGTTCTTCTATTTCTGGGACCATGTCATATTTTTCTCTATGTGTCCAGGACATCGTACAAAGTTGTTAAGTGTTTATGGTTAGAGTAGCTACTCAACAGACAGCTGGCATCAAGGATTTGCAGTGTAGAATTGGAATTAGGTATCAAAATAGAATAGAAATAACCCCTGGATATATTCCTTAATCTCACTTAATATTGGTAGGTTATATAATCCACCAACTATTTCAGAGTATTGAAGAGTTGAAGAGCAATGATTGGTTATGTTTCGATAATCTAAAAAAAAATCCCTGGAAACAAATTGTTAGAAATGATAACAACATTTATAGACCATGCCTTATAACTAAGATTGTGTTTCCAGGTTTTTAAAACAGGTTTTTAAGAAATGTTTCTACAGTAAAATAGACTATTTTGTTATTTTTGGTGTACAATTCTATTACAACACAGGCATAGTTTGTGTAACGACTACCGTAGTCAGAAAAAGAACATTTCCATCACCCCAAAAACTCCGCTCATGTCTTCCCTCATAATTACCCCTCACCATACCTGTAACCACTGGCAACTACCATAAGCACTAAAACTCTACAGCTTTGTCTTTTTGAGAATGTCATATAAATGGACTGATGCTATATGTAACATTTGAGACCGGATTCTTTTACTCAGCAAATTGCTCTTGACATTCACCCAAGTTGTTATACGTATCAATACTTCATTTCTTTTACTTCTGGTTAACGGAAGTATCCACTTTATGGATATATCACAGTTCATCTATTCACTGGTTGATAGACTTTTCCCCCCACTTTTTGGCATTTATCAATAGAGCTGATATAAACATTCATGTATAGTTTTTTTGTGCTTATTTCTGTAGCATACGAAGCCAGGAGTATGTTTACTGGGTCATATGGGAAATGCATGTTTAACTTTATAAGAAACTGTCAAACTGTAGTATCTGTACCATTTTGCATTCTCACTAATGATGTAGAAATTTCCAGTTTATTTACATCTTCATCAGCACTTAGTATTTTCCTTATTTTTTTATTTTAGCCATTCTAAGCATTGTGAGTTTAATTTACATTTCCCTAATGGCTAATGGTGTTCAGCAGATATTACTTTTTTGTTGTTGTTTCTTTGCCATCCTTATATCTTCTTTGCGGAAGTGTCTGTATGCATGCTTTGCCCAGTTTTACATTGGGTTATATTTTTCCTATTGTTGATTTTTGAAAGCTATTTATATATTCTGGATATAAGTCCTTTTTTGGATGTGTGATTTGCAGATATTTCTTCTCAGCCTGTAGCTTGTCTTTTCATTCTCTTAATAGTGTCTTTTGCAGAACAAAATTTCTAATTTTAATGACATCTGATTTATCGATGTTATCTTTTTTGGATTGTGCTTTTGATGTCATATCTAAGAAGTCTGCCTAGCCCCAGGTCATGAAGATTTTCTCTTGTTCTAGACGTTTTATGGTTTTACACTTAAATCTGTGATCCATTGTGAGTTAACTTTTTAATAATATGCGATGGTTAAGTTGGGGTTTATTTCTTTACATGTGAATGACCAACCATCCCAACACCACTTGTTTGGGTTTATTTCTGTACTATGTTCTGCTAAATTGATCTATGTGTGTATCTCTTCACCAGTACCAAGATGTCATATTTACTGTAGCTTGATAGTAAATCTTAGGATAGTTTGATTCCTCCAAATTTATTCTTTTTTTTCCAAAATTGTTTTTAGCTATTCTGGTTCCTTTGCCTTTCCATATAAATGGAATGCATACCTTTCCATGCATTTTAGAATCAGCTTATTTATATCTACCCAAAAATTCAGCTGGTATTTTCATTGACATTATGTGAAATCAGTAGATCTGTCTTTCTCACATTGAGTTTTCCAGTTCATTAATATAACAAGTCCGTTCATTTAAGTGTTCTTTAATTTCTTGCTTTAGTGTTTCATGATTTTCTGCATACAGATCTATACATGTTTTGTTTAGACATATGCCCAAGTATAATCAGCCAACTGGTCTTCGACAAAGTAAACAAAAACATAAAGTGGGGAAAGGACACCCTTTTCAACACATGATTTTGGGATAATTGGCGAGCCACATGTAGGGGAATAAAACTGCATTCTCATCTCTCACCTTATACAAAAATCTACTCAAGATGGATTAAGAACTTAAACCTATTTTCTGAACTATAAAAATTCTAGAAGATAACACTGGATAAACCCTTCTAGACATTGGCAAAGGCAAGGATTTCATGACCAAGGACCCAAATGCAAATGCAATAAAAACAAAGATAAATATCTGGGACTTAATTAAACTAAAGAGCTTTTGCATGGCAAAGGGAACAGTCAGCAGAGTAAATACACAACCCACAGAGTGGGACCCCTGACCCTGACCCTGAACCCTAACCCTGACCCCTAACCCCTGACCCTAACCCTAACCCCTAACCCTAACACTTAACCCTAATCCCTAACCCCTAACCACAACCCTCACCCTCACCCTAACCCAACCCTAACCCCTAATACCTAACCCCTAACGTCTCTTAACCCCTAACGCTAAACGTTGACTCCTAACCCCTAACTCTGACCCCAACCGCTATCTCCAAACCCTAACCCTAAACTTAACCCCTAACCCTAACACCAACCTTAACCCTAGGTTCGTTACTACGTTGGTATTGACTATGTCAATGTTGATTATTATGATCGCTGTCTTAGGACTGCACGGCAGCGAGGGGATTGCGGATCTTATATTAATATTTTTGTATTGAGGCAGTGCATTAGCATTACAGGTGCTTGTTACATGAGCAATGGGGGTGTCATATTTTGGGTGTCATTTCTGCATTAGGAATGCTGCATTTGTCTTCTGAGGCTGCGGTGTGGATCTCGCACTGCGGCCGCCTCGCCTTGGCTGGGGAGAACCTCGGTGGGCAGGATTCAGAGGGGATTTTGGTTTCCCGTTTTCCACACTGAACCCCTCTAACTGGTCTCTGACCCTGATTATTCAGGGCTGCAAACAGGAAGGATTTTATTCACCGTCGATGCGGCCCCGAGTTGTACCAAAGCGAGGCAGTGCCCCCAAGGTCTGTGCTGAGCAGAACGCAGCTCCGCCCTCGCGGTGCTCCCGGCCCGCCCGCCCGGGTCTGTGCTGAGAACGCTGCTCCGCCTTCGCTGTATCTCCGAAGTCTGTGCAGAGGAGAACTCAGCTCCGCCCTCGCGATGCTCTCCGGGTCTGTGCTGAGGAGAACTCAGCTCAGCCCTCGCAAAGGCCCAGCGCCGGCGCAGGCGCAGGGGCAGGGAGGCGCCCAGCAGCGAGGCAGGTGGCACCACCAGGGGGCCCTCAAGCCTGGCGCGCACGCATTCCAGACGACACCCAGACCATGCTCCGCCGCCTGGGCGCCCAAGCTGCAGTCGCCCTCTGTGTGCAGGCAGCAGCTGCCTAGCAACCCCCGAGCCCGCTCGCGCTCCCAGCATCGCAGAACCAGGGCCAGGTATCCCAGTGGCTGCGGCCAAGCCAGGCGTTCTGCCCGGCGGCGGCGGCTGCACAGGAGCCAGAACTGAGAACCCGCCGCTCAGCCCCACTCGGGGTGACTGCCGAGTGCCCGTGCCAGCGGCCCCGATCTCCCTCAGATGGAGGAGTGGGCGAGAGGCACGGCCTGGGGGCCCTCAGGCTGGGCGCGCTGGCGATCCCAAGGCCGACCAGGCCATGCACCTCCAGCCCGCCTGGGCACCTAAGCTGCAGCCGCCTTCTGTGTGCAGGCAGCAGCCTCCAGGCAACTCCCGAGCCCGCCCGCACTCCCCACATCTCGGAACCAGGGCCAGATGTCCCTGTGGCTGCGGCGAAGCCAGGCGGTCTGCCCTGCAGCAGCTGCACGGGGGCGGGAACCGGCCCTCAGCCCCATCCCGGGTGGCTGTAGAGGACCCCTGGCTGGAGGTCTCGAGCTCTGGCAGAGGAGGACCCGGGCGGGGGCAGGGTCTGGCGGGCTCTCAGGCCAGGGGCACTCGTGATCCAGAGGCCGCCCAGGCCATGCTCCACCACCTGGGCGCCCAGCTACAGGCGCCGGGCAACTTCCAAGCTGGCTGGCGCGCCCAGCCTCGCAGAACCGGGGCTAGATGTCGCCGTGACTGAGGCCAAGTCAGGCGGTCTGCCCGGAGGCGGCTGCACCGGGGCAGGAACCGACCCTCAGCCCCATCCCCGGTGGCTGCAGACGGCCCCTGGAGCGGCCCCGATCTCTCTTCGGAGGAGAAGAGGGGCGGGAGTCACGGCCAGGGGGGCCCTCAGGAGGGAAGGGATGAGCGCCTGCGATTCCGGGAAGTCCCGCGCCAGCCCAGGAGAACCCGCAAGCCAGCGGCGCCTGTTTCTCTGTGTGATTCTTTGAGGAACCACCAAACTGTTTTCCACAGCAAGTGCATCATTTTCTGTTCCTAGCAGCCAGTTCATGAGGGCTCCAATTTCTCCACCTCCTTAGCAACATTGATTTTCTGTGTCGTTGTTATGAAAGCCTTACCAGTGGATGCAAAGTGGCATCTCATTTGGGTTTTGTCTTGCATTTTATTAATGAATAATGGTGTTTAGCATCTTTTCTTGTCCTTCTTAGACATTTGTGTATCTTCTTTGAAGAAATGTCTATTCAAGTCCTTTGCCTCTTTTTTAATTGGGATCTTAGAAATTCTGTTGTTGAGTTGTGGGATATTAAGCTTTTATCAGATAAACACATTGATTTTAGCAGATACATATTTTCTCACATACTATGGGTTGTCTTTTCACTCCCTTGATAGTATCCTTTGATGCATAAAGGGTTTTTATTTTGATTGAATCTAATTTACATGTATTTTCTTTTGTTATCTGTGCTTTTCTGTCGTATTTCAAAATACACTTAAAACTCAAAGGTCATAAAGATGTACTGTGTGTTTTCTTCTAAGAGTTACATATTTTTAGTCCTTACATTTAAGTCTTTTATTAATTTAGAATTAATTTTTGTATATACTGCAAGGTAGGGGTCTAACTTCTCTCCTGTGCACTGACATCCAGCTGTTGAAGAGACTGTTCTTTCCTCTCTTGACTAGACTTGGCCACCTTGTTGAACAGTCATTGACCATATATGTGAGGACTAATTTGTAGGATCTCAAATCTGTTCTATTGTATTGGTCTAAAAGTCTATTGGTCTTATGCCAGTACCACACTCTCTTGATGACTGTAGATTGGTAGTAGGCTGTGAAACTGAAAAATGTGAATTTTCCAATGTTCTTTTTCAAGACTGTTTTGTCTGTCAGATCCTTTGAATTTTTGTATGATTTTAGAATGAGTTTCTTTGTTTCTGCAAAAATGCCTTTGGGATTTTGATGATATTGCATTGAATCTGTAGATACTTTAGATGGTATTGTCATCTTAACAATATTGTCTTACAACCCGTGAACACAGAATGTCTTTCCAGTTATTTCCACTCTCTTTATTTTTTTTCAGCAAAGTTTTGTGTATACCACCATGGTTACATTTATGCCTGAATAACTTATTCTTTGATGCTATTATAAATGGAATTTTTAAAATGTTTTCATAGTTATTTACAACTAAATAGAAATATAGCTCATTTGCCTATGTTTGTTTTGCATCCTGCCTCTTTTATTAGTTATAAATGGTTTTGTGTTTTGTTTGGAGCTTTATACCCATAAGATCATGTGTAGATATAATTTTACACCTATTTTTTATTTCTAATGTAGATGCCTTTTACTTCTTTGTCTTGCCTAATTGCTCTGGCTAGAACTGCCAGTGCTACATTGAATAGAAGTGGCAAATGCACCATCCTTGTCTTGTTCTAGATGTTAGGAAAACAGCTTTCAGTGTTTCATCATTGATCATGATATTAACTGTTGGGTTTTTGTACATCCCATTGTCATGTTGCAGAAGATCCCTTCTATGCCTAGTTTACTGAGTATTTTTATTATAGAAGGATGTTGTATTTCATCAATGTTTTTTCTGCATCAATTGAAACAATAACATGCTTATTCATTTTAGTGTTACAGTATATTACATTGATTGATTTTTTATATGTTGAGCCACACTTGCATTTTGGGGATAAATCTCAAAGGGTGATAGTTTACAATCCTTTGATTACGCAGTATTGCTGCTAGTATTTTGCTAGTATTGCTAGCATTTTGCTGAGATTTTTGCTTATATATCATAAGGGATATTGTGCTGTAGTTCTCTCTTTTGTGCTCTCTTTGGCTTTGGTATAAGGATAATGCTGTTATCAAAAAATGAATTAGCAAGTATTCCTTCTTCATATATTTTGTCAGAAGAGTTTGAGAAGAAATGGTATTAATTCTTCTTTAAATGTTAGGTTGACTCAGCAGTTAATGCAGCTATTTGGTCATAAATGTTTCTTTGTTAATCGCTTTTGATTACTAATTCAATCTCCTAGGTTATAGATCTGTTCAGATTTTCTCTTTCTTCTTGAGCCACTTTGGTAGTTTGTGTCTTTCTAGTGATTCATCCATTTCATCCAGGGCACCTAATTTGTTGTTAGACAGTTGTTCACAGTATACTCCTGTAATCCTTTTGTAGTTCTGTAAAGTTGGTTGTAATGGCTCTGCTTTCATTTATTATTTTAATAATTAGTCTTCCATCTTTTGCTCAGTCAATATAATGAAAGGCTTGATCTTTCAAAGAATCTTTTTTGGGTCCAACAAATGTATACCTTCTGTGTATTGATTTATGTATTCCCCTGTAATTTCTCCCTCTCTAAAATGGAAAATCAACTGCAATTCAGCTGCTTTGCATGCAGTTTCTCAGGACTCCTTAAACCTGTGATTCACTGGGCCACAGTCATTCATATAAGCTCAAAATAAGCCTCTTTAAAATCCCTCAAAGAGTTTGGTTTTTCTTCTAAAATTTTGTAATATAAATTATACGTAAATCATGGTAGTTGGCATTTTTCCACGCATCATAAGTTGTCTCACAGTGACCAAATGCAACTTGCAGAAAATAATTGGATATTATCTTCAAAATAATAGCAATCTTACTTCAGATGTTCTTTATCCAACATAGATTTAATACCTAAGAGATAACCTATAACATAAAGATTCATTAATTATGTCATCTTCTCCACCATTATCCATGATGATCACATACTTTGGAACTTATTCTATGGAGAATAGCCTAAAGTGAAGTCATAATAATGATACATTGTTATGCATTATCTGTCTTCTTCTTCTTTTTTTTTTTTTTGAGACACAGTCTTGCTCTTGTTGCCCAGGCTGGAGTGCAATGGTGTGATCTCAGTTCACTGCAACCTCTGCCTCTGGTGTTCAAGTGATTCTCCTAACTCAGCCTTTCAAGTAGCTGGGATTGCAGGTGCACACCACCATACCTGGCTAATTTTTATATTTTTAGTAGAGACGTGGTTTTGCCATGTTGGCCAGGCTGGTCTCAAATGCATTATGTGTCTTCTGAGAGTGGTCAGGGGATTCACTCTAGCTTAATTGTCACTTCTTACAGTGAGTGCTGAGGTTTGTATTAAGATTTTACATTTTGAATGTATTTATTAGGACCTGATTACACTCTCTTACGCTCTGACCAAACAATATGAATTCTATAAATTTTAATTCTATATCACTTCTCCAGGTACATATCATATTTTCCAAGACCCATTATTATTTTCATGGTGGAGCTACAAGATTCAGCAAATAGTCATATAGAATATACTTAAGTTCAAGATTCTGAAAAAAATAATACTTTTCTATTATGATATCTGCATACTTGCATGCAATATGTATATGCAATACTTTATAAATACACTAACTTTTATCTATTATTTATCTGAAGTTCAAATTTAACTGTGTCTTTTGTTATCTCTCAACTCCGATGCATGGGAACCTTGGTGTTCTTCTGTCCAAGCTTAGCTCCAACTACCTCCAGAGACCCATTGGAGAAAGACACCAGTTTTTGAGCCAACTACTACAATTCTTATAATGTGGATACCATTGTGTCTTAAAGTCAGTTTTTTTCTTATTATTCTTGTGTCCAAAATGACGGTAAAACACAAACAATATGACTGTGCTGATACGTGTTGGTGGCACCTATTAATTATTTGGTTCTGGCACTGAAGATAAATATGTGTATTTATGAGATTAATCTTTTAGCTCGAGAATAACAACCACTTAATAAAATATACAATTTTGCTTTTATAAACTCAAATTTAGATTAAATTTTTTTTCAAGATGATGGATTAGAGACTTAAAGCATGCTTCAGCCACATGGACATAGCACAATAGTGCATAAATGTCAACTCTCTGAGCTTTAATTTAAGAAGAAGAATAGGAATCCACCAGAATCATGAAGGACACACCAGATCCCAGGAAGGAGAATGGAGGCAAACTGCCCCCATGATGGCATCCAGCTAATAAAAGTGAGTGAAGTACCAGTAAGTAAAATGTATTTTAAATATATTCTAAATATATATGCAATATATGTCTATTCTAAATATATATGCAGCCAACATTGGAGCACACAGATTGGAACACACCCCAATGACAGTGTTAGACAGATCATTGAGGCAGAAAACTAATAAAGAAATTCTGCATTTAAATTCAATGCTTGACCATTTGGAATTACAATACACTTCATTCATCAACCACAGAACATACACTGTAGTATCATCTGCGTGCAGATGAGTATACTGCTCAAAGCGATTTACAGATTCAATGCTTTTCCTATCAAACTACTAATGTCATTTTGCACAAAATAGAAAACATCTAAAATTTATATGGAACCTAAAAGGAGTCTGAATAGCCAAGCCAAAGCAATACTAAGGCTAGAGACATAGGCTAGAGACATCATATTACATGACTTCAAACTATCCTAGAAGACTATAGTTATCAAAACAACATGGCACTGGTGGAAAAACAGACACATAGACCAATGGAACAGACTAGAGTACTAGAAACTAAGGCCACATGCCTGCAACCATCACATCTTTAACAAAGTTGACAAAAGTAAGCAATGGGAAAAAGACTTTTATTTAATAAATAATGCGGGGATAACTGGCCAGTCATATGCAGAAGAATAAAACTAGACCCCCATATTTCACCAAATACAAAAATTAACTTAAGATGGATTAAAGAGTTAAATGTAAAATCTCAAGTTATAAGATGCCTAGAAAAGTCCTAGGAAATACTTTTCTTGCTTTTTTATTTTATTTTATTTTATTATTATTATACTTTAAGTTTTAGAGTACATGTGCACAATGTGCAAGTTAGTTACATATGTATATATGTGCCATGCTTGTGTGCTGCACCCATTAACTCATCATTTAGCATTAGGTATATCTCCTAAAGCTATCCCTCTCCCCTCCCCCCACCCCATAACAGTCCCCAGAGTGTGATGTTCCCCCTCCTGTGTCCATGTGTTCTCATTGTTCAATTCCTACCTATGAGTGAGAATATGTGGTGTTTGGTTTTTTGTTCTTGCGATAATTTACTGAGAATGATGATTTCCAATTTCATCCATGTCCCTGCAAAGGACATGAACTCATCATTTTTTATGGCTGCATAGTAGTCCATGGTGTATATGTGCCACATTTTCTTAATCCAGTCTATCATTGTTGGATATTTGGGTTGGTTCCAAGTCTTTGCTATTGTGGATAGTGCTGCAATAAACATACGTGTGCATGTGTCTTTATAGCAGCATGATTTATAGTCCTTTGGGTATATACCCAGTAATGGGATGGCTGGGTCAAATGGTATTTCTAGTTCTAGATCCCTGAGGAATCGCCACACTGACTTCCACAATGGTTGAACTAGTTTTCAGTCCCACCAACAGTGTAAAAGTGTTCCTATTTCTCCATATGGCAAATAATTTATGGCTAAGTCCTCAAAAGCAATTGCAACTAAAACAAAAATTGACAAGTGGGAGTTAATTAAACTGAGAAACTCTTGCACAACAAGAGAAACTATCAAGGTAGTAAAGAGATAACACACAGAATGAAAGAAAATATTCACAAAGTACGCATCTAACAGAGGTCTATTATTCAGAACCTATAAGGAACTCAAACAAATCAACAAGCAAGCAACAAGTAACTCCATTAAAAAGTGGGCAACAGGACATGAACAGACACTTCTCAAAAGAAGACATACACACAAGCACCCAACAAACATATGTAAAAGTGCTCATCATCATTATTTATTAGAGAAATGCAAATCAAAACCGAAAGGAAATACCATTTCACACCAGTCAGAATGGCTTTTTTTGAAAAGTCAAAAGAAAAACACATATTGGTGAAGATTTAGAGAATAGAGAACACTTATACACTTTCTGAAGGAATGTAAATTAGTTCAGCCACTGTGGAAAGCAGATTGGGGATTTCTCAAAGAACTGAGAGTTGAACTACCATTCAACCCAGTAACCCCATTACTGGGTATATACCCGAAAGAAAATAAATATCCTACCAAAAGGACACATGTAGCCATATTTTTATCACAGCAGTATTCACAATCACAAAGACATAGACTTAACCCAGGCGTCTATCAGTTGTGGTCTGGATAAAGACTCATGGAATACTATACAGCCATAAAAAACTCAAATTTATGGCATTTGAAGCAACATGGATGCATTGTTTCCAGCAAACTAATGCAAAAGCAAAAAACAAAATACCGCATGTTCTCTCTCATAAGTGGGAGCTAAATGCTGGGTACACATGGTCATAATACAGAGGGGCGGGAGGGGCCGGGACTGGTGGCTCACTCCTGTAATCCCAACACTTTGGGAGGCCAAGGTGAGCAGATCACCCGAGGGCAGGAGTTTGAGACCAGCCTGGCCAACGTGGTGAAACCCCGCCTCTAATGAAAACACAAAAATTAACTGGGCATGGTGGCTGGCGCCTGTAATCCCAGCTACTCGGGGTTCTGAGGCGGAAAGTCGCTTGAACCCGGGGGGCGGAGGTTGTAGTGAGCCAAGATCGCGCCACATCACTGCAGCCTGTGCGATGGAGCAAAACTATGTCTCAAAAACAAAGAAAGAAAGAAACAAAAAAAGAAAGAAACAAACAAAAAAACAAAGAGGGAGGAGGGAGGGAATACAGATTGATTAAAACTATCGATTGGTTAGTGTCCTCTCTACCTTGGTAATGAATTCATTCATTTAATTCATAATTCATTCATTCAATTCATAATTCAGTTCCCCCTGAGAAAAAAATATTCACTTGTCATTAAAATCTCTCTGTATCTTACTGATTTCAGATAGAAGTTAAATTTCACCTTAATAATAGACACAAAAGAACTAGTTAAACTGACAAAAACTAATAAACGTTTGCTCAAATTTACTGACAGAGTCATGGGTACTTCATATAATAGTAACATTCTACCAGTTTTAAGTAAAATAAATAAGGAAACAATCTTAATTTCATCGCCTACCGGGAGGGACGTGCCCCTGCTCCCAGGTGAGTGGGACCCTGCGCTCTGGGCGGGTTGCGCCCCGGTCTCTGGCACCTCTTGTTGGCAGCGTCGCCGTTTCAGGCACAGGGCAGGTATGGGGGGCAGGCAGCGGGCCAGGCCCAGGCGACTCCTTTGCCAGGGGCTGGGCAGGTGCGGAGAGGGGCGGAGCTGTGCTGCCCTGGGTGAGGGAGCCTCCCGCTCTGGACGGTTCGCCGCCCCTGCCCCAGGAGGGCGCTGCAGGAGCTGGGTGGGGAAGGGGAGGGACGAAGGGACGCAGGCCAGGCCAGTGGCCCCTTAGACCTGGGTGATACGGGAGGGTCTGTGGGAGACCAGAGAGGACCCGGAGCAGAAACAGGGAACTGATACCTCTGGCTGAATATTTGTCTTCTTGCTGAAGTTTGAAAGTCAGTTATTTCATTAAAGTTTAATTGTATTATAAAAATAACAACTATTAAAAATTCCGTGTAGTCACTGGAATGATAAATTTTGGTGCAGTTTCAGCATAACAATCTTTGGAGTTTTTAGATATTCTAATTGTTCAAATTGCGGCCATGTTTCAAAATATATGCCATATATTGTTATGGCATCCACCCCTGTGTCCCTGTGTCCCGCATCCGCGTCTGTGTCCCTGCCGGCTCAGGGAACGAGCTTCTTCCTCCTTCTGCAGACTCAGATCAGGCCGTCCTCCCTCCAGCGCCTGAGGCGGTCATGGGGACAGCCTGCCCTCGAATAGCCCGATAAAGCCCAGCCTGTGCCCTGTGCTCCGCGTGGTGTCCTGGCTCGTGCCGCTCAGAGCCCCGCAGAAAGCAGTGTGACAGGTGTGGAAGGACTCAGCACCAGGCAGCGGTGAGCGGATGGATGCTCCAGGGATGTGGGGCTGCTGGCAGTCAAGAACCCATTGCCAAATTCCATGGCATAATTTTGGATATTTTTCCCTTATATTTTTGTGTAAGGCTTTCAGACTTACACATTTTGAGTTTTTAAAAAAATGTAGTATAAACTACAATTCTGACTTCTATATTTTACATGTTGATAGCAAGTCTTCATACCGTTTTTTGTTAAAGGGGGCTATTCCCTCTCCATAGTTTGGCCTTTGCACCCTTGTTGAAGATCATTTTGACTATATATACAAGGCTTTTGTGGAGAGGGGGTTCTCTATTATTTACTATGTCTACATGTCTTGATTTAATACATTTCTTTTTAGATTTTATCCTTTTTACTTTTTGAGACAGGTTCTCTGTCATCCAGGCTGGGGTGCTCTGGTGCGACCATGGCTCACTGCAGCCTTGCTCTCCCAGGCTTAAACAATCATCTCACCTCAGCCTCTGGAATAGCTGAGACTACAGGTTCATGTCACATTGCCAGGTTAATTTTAATTTTTTTTTTTTGTAGCGATGGGTGTTCTCACTATGATGCCCAGTGTGGTTTGAACTCCTGGGTTCAAGGAATCCTCCTACCTCAGCCTCACAAAGTGCTGAGCTTACACGTGTAACTCATAGTGAATGAATAAACAAAATGTAGTCTGTATATACAATGGAATATTATTCAGCCTTCAAAAGGAATGAGGTCCTCTTACATCCTACGATGTGGATGAATCTTGAAGGCATTATGCTAAATGAGAGAAGCATGACACATAAGGACTAATGCTGTATGATTCCACTCATGTGAAATGATAATATATTTATAATAGGTCTATCCAAAGAGACAGAAAGCTGACTAGTGGTGCCAGACAGTGGGAGGCAAGAGGAATGAGGAGTTACAGTTTAGTGGGTATGGAGTTTCCTTTGGAAATTAAAATATTTTGAAGCTAGATAGAGGCAATGGTTGCATAGCATTGTGACTTTATTAAGTACCACTGAATTGTTAACTTTAAAATGATTAATATTATGCTATGTAAATTTTAACTCAATAAAAGAGAAAAAAAAAGAACTTGCCCTTTTGAGAGTGACATCATCACCATGGCCTTCACCAACATCACCATCGCCAACATTGCCACACCATCATTATCAACTCCTCAACCACTATCATCACCACCACCATCATCATCATCACCATCACCAACATTGCCACACTATCATTATCATCACCACCTCAACCGCCATCATCATCATTACCGCCACCACTATCATCATTATCATCACCATCACCAGGTGAGGTGAGACAGGAGAACTGCTTGTACCCAGGAGGCGGAGGTTGCACCATCACCAACATTGCTACACCATTATTGTCATCATCATCTCAACCACTGTCATCATCACCACCACCATCACCACCAACACCACCATGCCAGCATTATCACCATCATCTCAACCACTATCATCACCACCAGCACCATTATCACCAACATGGCCACACCATCATTGTCATCACACCCATCACCATCATTATCATCACTATCACCACCATCATCATCCTCCTTACTATCATCATCATCGCCACCATCACCACCATCACAAACTCCATCATCACTAACTCTGCCTGAGCACTCACTCTGAGACAGGCAGCATGCCAAGAACTCTAATAGCATTGTTTTCCAACAACCCTGAAATAATGGGAATTCTTATTATTAGCCTTATTTACCAGAATAGGGAAATTGAGGTATGAGAGGTTAAGTGCCTGCCCATACACAGAATAGTCTCCTTATTCATTCACTGGGGATAGTACTGCCCTTGCCCTTGGGACATTTACACATGCAACTGAAGCCAGGCAAAGAGATGGGTGGGCCTGGCCCAGAGAAAACACTTGTTAGACAGCGTGAGCTGTTTTTATTAGTGCCCAATGTATGAGACTAACCCTCAGGCCACCATGGTCTTGGGCCCTAGACGAGTCTTCTCTTCTACAGCCACCACAGTCCTGAGTTCTGACAACAGAGCATGAAGCCCAGAAAAAGATCTTGGCAAATTGTTTTTGAAAATATGAAATTCACTCTATCTTAGAATACAAGCTAAAATAAAGTCCATGCAGTCCAAAGAGTCAAATGTAAAAGAAAGGCCATTGGCTGGGCACAGTGGCTCATGCCTGTAATCCCAGCACTTTGGGAGGCTGAGGTGGGTGGATCATGAGGTCAGGAGATCAAGACCATCCTGACTAACACGCTGAAACCCTGTCTCTACTAAAAGTACAAAAAATTAGCCAGGCGTGGTGACACACGTCTGTAATCCCAGCTATTCGGGAGGCTGAGGCAGGAGAACTACTTGAACCAGGGAGGTGGAAGTTGCAGCGAGCTGAGATCGCACCACTGCACTCCAGGCTGGGCGACAGAGTGAGACTCCGCCAAAAAATTAAAAAAAAAAAAAAAAAGCCATAGAAAGCACAACGTGAGGGAATACTTGTCTGCTCTGCTCTCAGGGTGCAAAGTGACTTTCTTTATAAAGAAACAAACAAAAATTGGAAGGAAAGTCAGCAAGAACATTGATGGATGAAAATCATGCTCCAAAACACCAAAACAAACTTTAAAATGCACGCTATGAAAAATATTTACATCGAATATGACAAAGTGTTAATATTCTTCCTTCATGAAGTTTATACTAAAGGTGTCTTCCTAATGGAAGTAAAGGCCCAAAGCCAGGAACTGGACCAGGGCACAGCACTATGGCATGTGAAGAAGAGCTCAGCAAAGAGGAGGACAGGACAGGGCTGGAAAATGTCACATGCACTGACCACAGTGCCATGTATACCTCAGGTTCTCATCAGTGACACCAAGTTTCAGTCACATGCAAAGACTTTTGTGGGGCTGGATGAGCTGGGAGCTGAGGACAGTCCCTTCAGCACCATCATTATTCATTTCAAAGACACATATTATACTACATTGCCCTGGAGGGGAGCCAGTTGAGCTCTTGCAGCCCAGAAATTAGACCCAGAATCCACACCATATGTCAGACCCCACATCCATGTGAGACCCCAAATCCACATCCACAGCCACATCCACGCTCCATGTCCATGCCCACATCCATAGTCACAGCCATGCCCCATGTCCACACCCTCACCTGGCCCCCAGGCTGCTCCAGGCTGTGCTCTCACTGCAGCATCTGGAGCAGATGAAGCCACAGGATGACCTACACCACGCTGACCTGGTTCTGCACCATCTCAGCAGGGCCTCACACACACATGGCTCATCACACACCCCTACCTGCCAGGCCTTTATGGGTTGGTGCTGACCCTCAGGCAGAAGGTCAGAGGTCAGACCACCAAACTCAGAGTAGAACAGACAGACTCAGTGCTCAGTTAGCAGGGCCAGCACTCCCTGAAACATGCCTGTTCTTGGGACAAGACTTGGGGTGAGGGGCTGGAGTCACCAGGATCCTCACAGGGCCTTTGGACAGGAGCCCACCTGAAGGATTCGCTCTCCAGGCTGGAGTTTGGAAGTCCAAATGGGTCTCAATGGGCTAAAATCAAGGTGTGGGCAAGGGCAGCTCCCTCTGGAAGCTCTAGGGAGAATCTGTCTCCAACTCCTCCAGTTCCTAGAGGCCACCTGCACTCCCTGGCTCCTGGCCCCTTCCATGTTCAAAGCCAGTGATGGCCAGCCGAGCTCTCACAAACATCACCCTGACTCAACCCTCCTCCTGCCCTCCTCCCCTCCTAAGGACCACTGTGAGGACACTGCAGCTGTGCAGACATGCAGGGCAGCCTCCCCATTCACAGCTGGGTGAACAGCCCCAACTCCATCCACAGCTTCCCTTCCTCCTCTCTTGCCATGCAACTTAAAGTTGCAGGATTAGGACATGAGTGCATTCAGGGGCTGTTATTCTGCCAACCGAGCTAAGGAACACACCTCAGCATGACCTCAGGCTCAGCATATGGACAGGCTGGCTGTGCCCTGTCTGGACCCCAAGCCCAAACTTCATGAGGCCCCAGCTGTGCCTGTGAGTGCAAGGAAGTCCTAGTCTCCTCAAACTCCATCCCTCTGGCATCCCAGGCCTCACCTCTCCCTCTGATGTAGCAGGGACAAGGTGCCAACAGCCATGGTGAGCCAGTGACTCAGCACAGGAAGGTCAGGTGGGGATCTGGTCCTCACACCTGGCCCCGCCCTCCATGCAGTGCCCGCTTGTGTGGCTCCAGGCTCTGGGCCAGTGTCTGTTGCAGGATGCCCTGCCCTGGCACAGCCAATACACTTACACAAGCAGGGGCCCCTTGGGGGCTTCCTGCTTCCAGCACCACCCACCCCTGGGACACCCACTGGGAGGATGAACTGGGTGGCACAGGTGACAGGCCTCACCTTGACCAGGACAGCCACCTGTCAGTCATTTGCTGCTTTGTGCAGGAGACCCCAAGAGACTGAGAGAAAAGAGAAATGGTCACAGTGGGAGGGTCCTTCTGCTGCCCAAATAAGCTCAGAGAACCAAAGGCCTCAGCACCCCACCACCACCTGGGTGACAAGGCCAGAGGCAGGGGCTGCATCCGGGTCCTGCCCACTGGGGGGTGACAACCGGGCTGCCCCTCCTCCCCCACCAAAGCTGAAGGAAGTGGACCCTCCACAGGGATCCAGACCAGATCCCCTGCTGGCACTGATCCTACATCTGCATCACTGCTCCAACCCCCACTGCCTGTGCCACCAACCGTGACAGTGGCCACTTGGCAGGTGAAACTAAGTCTCAGGGCTTTCAGCTTGGTTCTGTCACTAGCTGTGGTTATATGTTGAGGAGACAGCACCTAACTCCTGGGGCTGCTGCTGGGATTCAGGGCCCCGACTGTGCATGCTCCAGCACACTGAGCTTCATTGGGGCCATTCTGTCCTCACAGGAGGGGCTGTTTGCTGACACTGGGCATGTATTTTATTGTATCAGAATTAAGACTCTCTAAATGCCCCCTAAGAAATTACTTGGAAAGTTGGCAAAATGAAAAAAATAAGAGAATAATAATAGCTACAGAAAAATGGAAAACATTTTCCTTGCACTAAAGCTAGGAGCATAAGACACTGAGAATCTGAAGGAGACTAGGTAACACCAAAACAGTTACAGCATCCCAAGGCCATATTAGTGGATAAGTTCTTATTTCAGAGACAAAATCGGGCACACACTTCCCATTAACACAAAACCAACCTCACCTCCTCACTAATGCAGAGTGGGCAATTCCAGATGTCCACGTGCTTGTGGGCTGTGGGTGGCTTTCCTTGCATCTCAGCTGGCAGATGGCCTATTGCGGAACTTTATGATCATGTGATTTAATACTTAATAAACTCATATATATATATATCTTCTATTTGTTCTGTCCCTCTAGAGAACCCTAACTAATACAGACACCAAAGGAAATGGTCAAGAAAAAGAAAACAGAAAGGGGTCGGGGGTGGGGAGCGTAGAATTCAGACACTTCCAGAGGCTCCACAATTGTCTCTGAGGATCTCTAAGAAGCCTGTCTGCTCTCTAGGAAGTCAGCCCGCTCCCCGCCAAACCTGCACTCTCTCCCAGGTTCTGGTCTGGCTGCATAAGATCCTCAGGCAAGGGTGGCCCCAGAGGGCTAGTGGCTCTCCTGAGCTCTTCCCACAGGAATCCCCGCTCTGCAGACAGGACACAGTGTCTTTCTCATGGGTGACATGGAATTATGAGCCCAAGCATGCCAGTGACATCCCTGCTCATGGAGCTGTAGCCCTGTTGCGGGCCACAGGGCACTGCCCCCCATGGGACCTTGAGTGGGCTGGGTGCTACCTTCAGAGGGTCTGGAGGATCCAGCACAGAAGCCCAGCCAGGGATGACTGACACCTGGCCCTGGCCCCTGGCTCAGAAACCCTCCAACCATGCCACCATCCAGACAAGGCCAAGTCTAGAAATGATCTCCTGATTACAACTGGATTATATTCCTGGTTTCTTCTATTGTTGTTAAGAACATCTGTTTAATGTAAACCATAATTTTTGAACCTGATTTTGACATTAAAAAAAATTGGCTGGGTGCGGTGGCTCACACCCGTAATCCCAGCACTTTGAGAGGCCGAGGCGGGCGGATCACCTGAAGTCAGGAGTTCGAGAACAGCCTGGCCAACATGGCGAAACCCCATCTCTATTAAAAATACAAAATCAGCCAGGTGTGGTGGCACATGCCTGTAATCCCAGCTACTTGGGAGGCTGAGGCAGGAGAATCGCTTGAACCCAGGAGGTGGAGGATGTAGTAAGTTGAGATTGAGCCATAGCATTCCAGCCTGGGTGACAAGAGTGAAACTCCATCTCAAAAAAAAAAAAAAATATATATATATAGGAGAAATAACAAAAAAGGAAGTGGCCTCTTTCATTACCAGAGGTGAGGCAGACACACAGAGCCTTTGCCTTACTTTGCAGCCCTCTGCAGCATCTGGCACTGGGTTCAAGGCACACTGTTGGAGCTCACATTGGTGTCAGGCACACATTCAAGCTAGAAATGTCCCTCTGGCAAGGCTTATCTTTTAATAATACAAATCCACAATGCAGGTGGGGCTGCAGGGCAGGCACTCTTTCCCTTGTAGTCAGGGGACTAAGTTGGGAAGGTGTTTCCTATAGCCCAGCAGTATGTATCAAAAGCTTTAAAAAGATTTGCACCCTTCAGGCCAGTAATTCCACATTGGCAAATCTATTTTAAGGCAAAAAGCACAAAGGCACCCAAAGATTTATGTTAATGTGGTTCCTCCCATGGTTATTTAAAATAGCAAAAATTAGGAACACCACACATCTCTAGCCAGTAAGGGTCAGGTAACCAGGAAATGATGTGCTCATGTGATGGAGTATTACACAGCCATTCAACAATGAGTTGTACAAGTTTTCGAGTTTAGAACTTTACAGTCTAGGCAGACACTAAAAACTACAGCCCTTTTTTCCATGGTACTAGGCAGCGGCCACGTTCTTCTTTCCGTTATACTTTTCTGTGCTTTCCTAAATCACAGAAAATGAGCATGTGTTCCTTTTATAACAAGCAACAAAAGTCCTGCTTTATTTTTAAAACCAGAATGGCCCCCAACAGCTCCCTTCCCTGCTCATCTCTTCCTGGCTTTCCTGTGTCCTGGTCCCCTGCAGAGAAGGCCTCCTGAGCCATCAACCCTGGAAGGAGGCTGAGGATCCCTGTCTCCGGACCAGCAGGCAGATGGATTCCTGGTGTTTGGAGTCCCCCAGGTGTCTCACAAGGAACCTGTGGAGAGAGGGGAAGAGGCCAAGTGTTAAGGGGCTAACAGGATGGCAAAAAAGGCCTCCCAGCACAACACATGGGGCATCACCTGAAGCCTGTGACACCCAGTGCACGCAGAAACCCTGGGCTGTGATTGCCACCAACAACTGTGTGACAACAAGATGTACACAACTTCAGTGAGTCTCAGACTCCTTCTCTGCAGAGAGTGGATCATCATATCCAGTAGAAGATCAACGACTAAAATACTGGAGGAGTTGTATGTACCATGCCTACTACTGTGCCTGGTACATAGCTGGTGCCTGTAAGGATAGTTTACTACTTGTCATAGTTATCATCACCATCACCATCGTCATCACCATCACTGCCACCATCATCATCACCATCACCATCATCACTATCATCATCACCATTACCATCATCAATCACTATCACCATCATAATCACCATCATCATCATCACCATCACTGCCATCATCACCACCAACATCACCATCGCCATTTCTATCACCATCATCACCATAACCATTTGTATCACCATCATCACCATCACCATCATCATCACTATCACCATCTCCACTACTATCATCACTATCACAATCATTATTACCATCACCATTATCACTGTCATCATTGCCATCATCATCACTATCACCATCACCACCATCATCATTACCATCACAATCACTACCATTACCATCATCATCCTCACCACCATCATCATTTTTTTCTGCTGGGCTGGTGGACCATGACCCTAGCTTTCATTTCTGGCAGGGAGTAGCTGAGAAAGCACGAAACTCCACAGAAAACAGAGAATCTGCGTGGAAAGAATGTTGACATCTCTTCTCTCTTCCCAAGTGTACCATGTCCACACCTCCAGGAGCATGAGCTGAGTGGACCCCAGCTCAGCCCCTTCCTGTCTTTAAAGAGAGGTTGGAGGGGCTGGGCAGCCTCTGTCCAGCTGGGCTGTGCCCCCATGTCACCCAAAGTTTCTTCTTCCCTAGCCATGATGCCTTCATTTGCACCTTCCCTGTGCTTCTCTTCAGCAGGAAGGGCAGCCAGAGGGAACAGAAGCTAGCTGGGACCCTCCATGTCTGCCCCGGGGACACTGCTCCAGGAATCTGGAAAA
Source organism: Homo sapiens (assembly GCF_000001405.40). Lineage (NCBI taxonomy): Eukaryota > Metazoa > Chordata > Mammalia > Primates > Hominidae > Homo > Homo sapiens. The sequence goes on from NC_000020.11 coordinate 30,602,800, forward strand.
TGCCCTGCTGCTGGGAGAGGAAGTGAGGTCCACCCTGTGCTGCTTAAAGAGCCTGTGCTGCTTAAACTTCTCAATTTGTCACGAAATCCACAAAACAAGTGGGTGATGACCCTGTAAGCCAATGTCACTCACTCTAGAGGGATGTGGCCAAGGTCTGAGGTAGAGGGCAAGCCCTGACACCATGTGCCTCTCCCCTCAGCAGCCTTGGGGCAGGTAACTCAGTGCCTTCCTTCATCCAGAAAGGGGACAAGGAACCACCTACTCCACAGGAACTTGTGAGGATGAAACAGCAAGAAAGGGATGTGTAGAGGCAAAAGCACCAGGTCCACCCAGCAGCCAGGAGGAGAGGGACCAGCCCAGGAGCTGACAACCCATAGAGATTTCTGGTCTGAAAATGTGGGCCAGGTGCGGTGGCTCTTGCCTGTAATCTTAGTGCTTTGGGATGCTGAGGTGATATCCTTGTTTTTTGAGCCTAGGAGTTTGAAGCCAGCCTGGGTAACACAGTAAGACCCTGTATCTATAAAAAGTACAAAAATTAGCCAAGAATGGTAGCACATGCCTGTAATCCCAGCTACTCAGGAGGCTGAGGCAGGAGGTTCGAGGATTTCCTCGCTTAAGCCTTGGTGTTCGAGGCTGCAGTAGCTATGATTGCTCTACTGCACTCCAGTCTGGGAGATAGGGTGAGACCCTGTCTCAAGGGAAAAAAAAGAAAAAGAAAATCAGAACCTCAATCCCCACTGGCACCTACTGAGTCAGAAACTGTTCCTAAGGACAAGCCAGGCCTGGGTGCCACCGCAGCACAGCCTGTTTCAGGGCCCTTGGCCAACCCTAAGTACCCTGTCACTAATTACCCAGGGTTCCCCATGACCCATCAGGGCTATAACTTCTGTTACAGGGGCCACAGAATCCCATCTAGAGGAGCAGCCCAAATGTGTGACTCAAGTCCCAGAGCTGCCTTCTTGCAGGCCTCTTTGCATGCAGCCATGGAGTCTGTGCTGAGGTGCTGGCTTTGACTAGCTTCTCCGGGAATTCACTTCTTAACTGCATTTCTAGAATATATTTGCTCAAAGAAAACCCCAAGCATGACCGATGGGAATCACATATGGAGCAGAGCCACCTGAACTGTGGAGGTAAGTCACTTATCCTTCACGAGCCCTGGTTACTCAGCTCTCAGGCAAAGTGCTTTGCCAGGCACATCTCAATAGCCCCAGACAGCTAATGCTCTGTGACCAGGAAGCCTAAGGGCCTGGCACCAGCTGTGCCTGCTTATAGATGAAGTGGGGAAGCCCTGGAGTTCCCATTGGCTCCATCATTCCACGGGAAAGATGCAATTAAAGTCTCCCATCTGTGAGCAAACAAGAGCATGTCAGGGCTGGCTATGGCATGGGCCTCAGAGGAGAACTGGCCCTCCTCACAAGCCCACAGAGACACTGGTGGGTGGGGGACACCCCTCCCAGTGCCCTGCAAGAGTGTGCTGCAGTCAACGTTGTAGGTACAAACATCAAAACAATTCAGGACAATACCATAACTGCCCATTATTCTGAAAAACATCAAGACCCAAAATAAATGCTTGCTTGCAAATGAGTCATACGTACCTAAGGGAAACCTCCATCTACTTCTGAAATGCACATGAAGGATGTAGTAAGCAATATGAAAATTCATTTTCCAAATCACAAAATGAAAATGTTATCTGTCTGACTAGTGATTTAACTTTAAGTAAACAGTTTATATAAAAGGCCACACAAACTGCTTTTTACCATATGAGAAGCTGTGCAACATCACTTGTAGTAAGAAATGGAACCTACAACTGCAATAAGATTTCTCACCTATCCGGCTGGCGAAGGTCAAAAGTCTGGGGTGTGCCTGACATGTTCCTGCTGATATAGACCAACAAGCATTCTCTCATATTCTTGGCAAAAACACACATTAGTAAAAACTTCTTCAGTAGGAGCTGTTGGTATTTTAGACACAGACCCTGTTACATGTCCTCTCCCCACAGATACGTGGATCATGTGTATTCACTGCAGCAGCAATAGATTCAAGTCAAGATAAGTGTCCATTCTTGGGAGACTGAGAGGAATATTCTGGAGTGCCCACAAGGACAAATCCTGTATTTGCTGATCTGGAACAATTTCCAAGATGTATACTGTTCAGCAAAGAGCACAAGTTTGTAGAAGAGTATAGAGATACATCTTTTTTTGTGTGTGGAAGATTGAAGGAAATCCATAAATATGCCCTGTCTGTAATCAGAATGTTCTGGAAAGACACACAGGTCCCCGATTCCAGTGGCCATCTCTGGAGAGGCCACACTTTGGTGGCTGTGCTCAGCAGGGATAGAGGGCAGGCTTCTCATTGGAGACAAATTTTTGACTATTCAGTATTTTCCTATGTATATATATTGCTACCCATCAAGAAGTGTAAAGAATATTTTTAATCCTGGCGAGGCACAGCCGCTCATGCCTGTAATCCCAGCACTTTGGGAAGCCGAGACTGGAAGATGGCTTGAGTCCAGGAGTTCAGGACCAGCCTGGGCAAAAATGCAAGACTCCATTTCTTCAAAAAATAAAAATAAAAAAACAGCCAGGCATGGTAGCCTATGCCTATAGTCCTAGCTACTCTGGAGGCTGAGGTGGGAGGGTTACTTGAGCTCAGGAGTTCAAAGCTACATTAAGCTATGACCACAACAGTGCACTCCATCCTGAGTGAGAGAGCAAGACCCTCTATTAAAAAATAAAAGGGATATTTTTACCTTTTACCTCCTTTGCTAAGTATAATCTTAAGTTTAATCCAGAAAGACCCTCTGCCACAGAGAAAGCAGAGGTCTAGAGAACAGCATGAAGACAATAAGAGACTTGAGACTCACTTCTCCTTTGTCTTCAGGCCACAGAAAGCCAAAAGCATCTGAACATCTTCTTGGAGGCATTTTCCTAAAAGAGAGCTATTGAAACTTGAAGAAAAATGTGAATCGAGAAACTAAATTTAAAGATACATTATTTTCTCCAACCCTTCCTCACAAATTAACCACAGAATGAGTCTAGTGAGATAAAACATACCATTTACACAAAATACGGAAGTGATATGGTCTTTATGTGAGCAGAAATATGTTCAAATTTTACTCCTTAAATGTATTTTCTTTTACTACTAGAAATAGTAATTTTCACTTGATCATTACTTTATTTTATAATTATCTCAATTTAAATTTGTGTTAGCCTGCTCCTGGGTATCTACCTAAAGGGAAAGAAGTCATATGAAAAAGATGCTTGTACACACATTTATAGCAGCACAATTTGCGGTTGTAAAAATATGGAACCAGGTTAAGTGTCTATCAGCCAATGAGTGGACAAAGAAAATGTGGTATGTATACAGCATGGAATACTACTGAGCCCTAAAAAGGAACCAAATAATGGCATTTGCAGCAACCTAGATGGAGTTAGAGATGATTATTCTAAGTGAAGTAACTCAGGAATACAAAAAAACAAATATTGTGCATTCTCGCTTATAAGTGGGAGCTAAGCTATGAGGCTGTAAAGCATAAGAATGATATAATGGACTTTGGGGACTTGGAGGGAAGGTTGTGGGGGTGAGGAATAAAAGACTACACATTGGGTACAGTGTACATGACTCGAGTAATGGGTAAACCAAAATCTCAGAAATTACCACTAAATAACTTTTCCATGTAACCAGAAACCACCTGTTTCCCAAAAACTATTGAAATAAGGTAATATATATGAAAACAATGATAGTCTTGAGGTGCAATATTCACTAGGTTTTATATGGGAGAAAAACAGAGCTAAAATCAAACACATGGACAGGCAGTCAGAACAATGTCCATCATATGCAAAGTCAAATTAATATGAGGGCAAACATTCATGAGTGGAGTCCATTTGGAATAGACTGCAGTGAGGATGTATGCCTTAGGGCCCTCATAACTCATGTTAGGGAGAAAACATATAATTTTACTCAAAGTGAAAACATCTTTGCAAATAACTCAATCCACACTGCGCAGATGCAGTCCTGTACTGTAGAGAGTAAGAATAAGAATCATCAAAGTGGAAAAACCTCTGCCCCTGCTCCAAACTCTACTTCACACAGGAGTAGTACTACTGGAGAGAAAAGCCATACATGTCCCAAATGTGGGAAAGCCTTTACTTATCAGTCATTTCTCATGAGACATATGAAAATTCACACTGGAAAGAAACCTTACGAATATAACTAAAGTGGGAAAGCCTTTAGATATTCCCTACACCTTAATAAACATTTAAGAAAGAACATTATGGAGAAGCCTTTTGAATTTAAGGAATGTGGGAAAGACTTCAGCGAGCCTCAAGACATGCACATATAAGGAGTCGTGCTGGAAAGAAATCCTATAAATGTGACAGATGTGGAAAAGACTTTGCAAAGTCATTGGAATTAAAAGCTATCATCTTAAGAGATACAATAGTGAGAAGCCCTGTGAATGAAAGGTGGGAAAATCATCATTAATTTTTTCACCATACTGAACATGTAAGGAGGACATACTGGAAGGGAGCTCAACGAGTTAACATTCATGAGAACACCTTTCTGGAACTCTCATATCTTACAGAAGTGTGAAAAGAAACCCTGTGAAAGTAAAGTCTATGGAAAGCCTTTCATATTCATTCACCTTGAGTAGATATTTGTTCTCACACTGGAGCAAAACTATGAAAGTAAGGAATATGATAAAAAAAAGACTCATTATTACCTCAGACTCATAGTTCATACAAGAAGTCACACTGCAGAGACTTCTTCTGGAAGTAAAAAATGAAGAAAAGACCTCTTTAAACACGTATCCCTCCTGTTACACATGATTCCACACCCTGGAGGGAGACTACAATTGGAATAAATAAAGAAAGCTTTCAGTTCCAACTCCTCACTTATTGGGCATTAATGAGCACAGTATAGGACTGAAGCACTGTAAATGTGAACAATTGCTGCCATGCCATTATCATTGTCTTATCCCTCAATTAGAACTCAGATTCAGAAAATCTGTTTGGAAATGGGACAGTTATTGTTCCTCTTTTCTCTTAACCAAGTTCCCCTTGCTCTCTATGCTTGCTGCTCTCTGGAAATAGGATGAAATGCCCTGAGTCGGGTTTAGCACCTTGAAGACCATTGGACTGAAGGTCCCAATAACAAAACCTTCAAATTACAAAATTTCTCACTTCCCAATGGCATGTTGGGTATCCATGGCTGCCCTGGACTATTTCTGGACTTACTTCATGCAATTAACCCCTTGTAGAATTAAGAAACATTTTAGGAGAGATGTTTATAAGAGATTAAATGATAAACCTAAAAAATGAATAAAACATACTATAAAAATAAAGAGAACAAACCAAATGGGCTTGCAGATTCTGACTGGCCACATTCATCCTTGATGCTTGTCCCCATGGATGCCTCACCTACTGTGACACTTGGAGGGCTTGCAGCCATCACTCAAGGAATCAGAACACATTGGCCTCTACTGCAGCATCAGGGAACAAAGCAAAAACAGCCTCTCAGCTCTCAAGAGACACACTTATGTGTATAAACATATGTTATATAAATTTATCCAGTGACTTTGAGATGTCTTACACTAAATGGATAAAATTAATTAAAACTAGCGCAAATTTCTGGCAACAGCACTCCAACTCCCCATTGTTTATCCAGGGCATTGAAAATTGGCACACATCACAGATCCTTAAGTCATTCTCTGAATCAGCAGGAGAAAAGAGGAGAACAGAGGGAGCTCACTGTATGTGCCAGGCACTGGGCTGACAGCTGTGCCTACATCATCCCACTTGATGCTTGCCGTAACCCTGCAAGATAAAAGTAAAGTAAAAACACACACACACAAACTCACACATATACGCACATGCTCAAGCACACACTAGAAACTACAGAACAAAGAAAGCATTGGCAACTAATAGAAGTATAGTGCTGGCCAAGCACAGTGGCTCATGCCTATAATCTCACCACTTTAGGCCAGGAGTTCAAGACAAGCCTGGGCAACATAGCAAGACACCATCTCTACAACACATTTTCTAAGATAGAAATTATTTTTAGAAAGATATAATGCCTAAGGGCTCAGGGAAGCAATACCTTTATGACTGTATGGTAAGCATCAGGCAAGGCTGCTTATCAGACCAAAGTGGTAGTGATTCCAGGGTTCTTTTGCACACTTAGCTAGGAAC